>NT_187400.1:19783-21476 GCF_000001405.40 Homo sapiens | reverse complement strand
CAAGTGGAGATTGGGAACGCTTTGAGGCCTACGGTAGTAAAGGAAATAGCTTCGTGTAAAAACTGGACAGAAGCATTCGCAGAAAATACTTTGGGATGATTGAGTTGAACTCACAGAGCGGAACATTCCTTTGGATGGAGCACTTTTGAAACACACTTTTTGTTGAATCTGCAAGTGGACATTTGGACCTCCCTGAGGATTTCGTTGGAAACGGGAAAACGTCACCTAACTAAACAGAAGCTTTTGCAGAATCTTCTTTGTGACGTTTGCATTCAAAGTCTAGAGTTGAAACTTCCTTTGACAGTTCACGTTTGAAACACTCTTTTTGTAGGATCTGCAAGTGGATATTGGGAGCACTTTGTGGCCTTCGTTCGAAATGGGTATATCTTCACATAAAATCCAGACAGAAGCCTTCTCAGAAACTTCTCTGTGATGATTGCATGCAACTCACAGAGTTGAACATTCCTTTGGATAGAGAAGTTTCGAAACTCTCTTTTTTCTAGAATCTGCACATGGATAGGTGGAACTCTGTGAAGATTTCCTTGGAAACGGGAATATCTTCACTTAAAGAGTAAACAGATGCCTTCTCAGAAACTTCTTTGTGAGGCATGTGTTCAACTCGCAGACTTCAACCTTGCTTTTCATAGAGCAGTTTTGAAACATTCTTTTCGTAGAGTCTCCAAGTGGACGTTTGGAGCGCTTTCAGGCCTGTGGTGGAAAAGGAAATATCTTCACCTCAAAACCAGAGAGAAGCATTGTCAGAGACGTCTTTGTGATGATGGCATTCCACTCACGGAGTTGAGGGTTCCTTTTGATACAGCAGTTTGGAAACACTCTTTCAGTGGGACCTGCAAGCGGATATTTGGAGCTCTTTGGAGATTTCGATGGAAAGGGGATAATCTTCCCATAAAAGCTAAACGGAAGCATGCTCAGAGCCTTCTTGGTGATGTTTGCATTCTACTCACAGAGTTGTAATTTCCTTTCCATAGAGCAGCTTTGAAACCCTCTCTTTCTAGAATCTGCAAGTGGACATTTGGAGGGCTTCGAGGCCTGTGGTGGAAAAGGAAATATCTACTCATAAAACGTAAATGGAAGCATTCTCAGAAACTACTTTGTGATGATTGCTTTCAGGTCACAGAGTTGAACATTCCCTTTGATAGAGCCGTTTGGAAACACACTTTTGGTAGAATCTGCAAGGGGAGATTTGGACCGCTTTGAGGCCTATGGCAGTAGAGGAAATCACTGCCCATAAAAACTAGACAGCAGCATTCTCAGGAAACACTTTGTGACGATTGAGTTCAACCCACAGAGCTGAACATTGTTTTGGATGGAGCAGTTTCGAAACACACTTTTTGTAGAATCTGCAAGTGGGTGTTTGGATTTCTCTGTGGATTTCGTTGGAAACGGGATAAACCTCACAGAACTAAACAGAAGCATTCTCAGAAACTTCTTCGTGATGTTGGCATTCAACTCACGGGGTTGAACATTCCCTTGTGAGTTCAAGTTGAAACACTCTTTTCGTAGTATCTGCAAGTGGAGATTTGGAACGCTTTGAGGCCTACGGTAGTAAAGGAAATAGCTTCTTGTAAAAACTGGACAGAAGCATTCGCAGAAAATACTTTGGGATGATTGAGTTGAACTCACAGAGCGGATCATTCCTTTGGATTGAGCAGTTTTGAAACACACTTTTTGT
>NT_187400.1:8098-10599 GCF_000001405.40 Homo sapiens | reverse complement strand
GATTTCGTTTGAAACGGGATAACGTCACCTAACTAAACAGAAGCTTTTGCAGAATCTTCTTTGTGACGTTTGCATTCAAAGTCCAGAGTTGAAACTCCCTTTGACAGTTCACGTTTGAAACACCCTTTTTGTAGGATCTGCAAGTGGATATTGGGAGCACTTTGTGGCCTTCGTTCGAAATGGGTATATCTTCACATAAAATCCAGACAGAAGCCTTCTCAGAAACTTCTCTGTGATGATTGCATCCAACTCACAGAGTTGAACATTCCTTTGGATAGAGAAGTTTCGAAACTCTCTTTTTTCTAGAATCTGCACATGGATAGGTGGAACTCTGTGAAGATTTCCTTGGAAACGGGAATATCTTCACTTAAAGAGTAAACAGATGCCTTCTCAGAAACTCCTTTGTGAGGCATGTGTTCAACTCCCAGACTTCAACCTTGCTTTTCATAGAGCAGTTTTGAAACATTCTTTTCGTAGAGTCTCCAAGTGGACGTTTGGAGCGCTTTCAGGCCTGTGGTGGAAAAGGAAATATCTTCACCTCAAAACTAGAGAGAAGCATTGTCAGAAACGTCTTTGTGATGATGGCATTCAACTCACGTAGTTGAAGGTTCCTTTTGATACAGCAGTTTGGAAGCACGCTTTCAGTGGGACCTGCAAGCGGGTATTTGGACCTCTTTGGAGATTTCGATGGAAAAGGGATAATCTTCCCATAAAAGCTAAACGGAAGCGTGCTCAGAGCCTTCTTGGTGATGTTTGCATTCAACTCACAGAGTTGTACTTTCCTTTCGATAGAGCAGCTTTGAAACCCTCTCTTTCTAGAATCTGCAAGTGGACATTTGGAGGGCTTCGAGGCCTGTGGTGGAAAAGGAAATATCTACTCATAAAACCTAGACGGAAGCATTCTCAGAAACTACTTTGTGATGACTGCTTTCAGGTCACAGAGTTGAGCATTCCCTTTGATAGAGCCGTTTGGAGACACACTTTTGGTAGAATCGGCAAGGGGAGATTTGGACCGCTTTGAGGCCTATGGCAGTAGAGGAAAGCACTGCCCATAAAAACTAGACAGCAGCATTCTCAGGAAACACTTTGTGACGATTGAGTTCAACCCACAGAGCTGAACATTGTTTTGGATGGAGCAGTTTCGAAACACACTTTTTGTAGAATCTGCCAGTGGGTGTTTGGATTTCTCTGTGGATTTCGTTGGAAAGGGGAAAACCTCACAGAACTAAACAGAAGCATTCTCAGAAACTTCTTCGTGATGTTGGCATTCAACTCACGTGGTTGAACATTCCCTTGTGAGTTCAAGTTGAAACACTCCTTTCGTAGTATCTGCAAGTGGAGATATGGAACGCTTTGAGGCCTACGGTAGTAAAGGAAATAGCTTCTTTTAAAAACTGGACAGAAGCATTCGCAGAAAATACTTCGAGATGATTGAGTTGAACTCACAGAGCGGAACATTCCTTTGGATGGAGCAGCTTTGAAACACACTTTTTGTAGAATCTGCAAGTGGACAGTTGGACCTCCCTGAGGATTTCGTTGGAAACGGGATAACGTCACCTAACTAAACAGAAGCTTTCGCAGAAACTTCTTTGGGACGTTTGCATTCAAAGTCCAGAGTTGAACCTTCCTTCGATAGCTCACGTTTGAAACACTCTTTTTGTAGGATCTGCTAGTGGATATTTGGAGCACTTTGTGTCCTTCGTTCGAAACGGGTATATCTTCACATAAAATCCAGACAGAAGCCTTCTCAGGAACCTCTCTGTGATGATTGCATTCAACTTAGAGAGTTGAACATTCCTTTGGATAGAGAAGTTTCGAAACTCTGTTTCTCTAGAATCTGCACATGGATAGGTGGAACTCTGTGAAGATTTCTTTGCAAACGGGAATATCTTCACATAAAGAGTAAACAGATGCCTTCTCAGAAACTTCTTTGTGAGGCATGTGTTCAACTCCCAGAGTTTAACCTTGCTTTTCATAGAACAGTTTTGAAACATTCTTTTCGTAGAGTCTCCAAGTGGACATTTGGAGCGCTTTCAGGCCTGTGGTGGAAAAGGAAATATCTTCACATAAAAACTAGAGAGAAGCATTGTCAGAAACTTCTTCTTTGTGATGACTGCATTCATCTCACGGAGTGGAAGGCTCCTTTTGATACAGCCGCTTGGAAACACTCTATCAGAGGGACCTGCAAGCGGATACTTGGAGCTCTTGGAAGATTTCGATGGAAAAGGGATAATCTTCCCATAAAAGCTAAATGGAAGCATGCTCAGAGACTTCTTTGTGATGTTTGCATTCAACTCCCAGTGTTGTACTTTCCTTTTGATAGAGCAGCTTTGAAACCCTCTCTCTCTAGAATCTGCAAGTGGACATTGGGAGGGCTTCGAGGCCTGTGGTAGAAAAGGAAATATCTACTCATAAAAGATAGATGGAAGCATTCTCCGAAACTACATTTTGATGATTTCTTTTCAAGTCACAGAGTTGAACATTCCCTTTGGAGAGCCGTT
>NT_187400.1:0-2014 GCF_000001405.40 Homo sapiens | reverse complement strand
AGCTTCGAGTAAAACTGGACAGAAGCATTCTCAGAAAATACTTTGTGATGATTGAGTGTAACTCACAGAGCTGAACATTCCTTTGGATGGAGCAGTTTTGAAACACACTTTTTGTAGCATCTGCAAGTGGATATTTGGACCTCTCTGAGGATTTCGTTGGAAACGGGATAACGTCACCTAACTAAACAGAAGCTTTCGCAGAAACTTCTTTGGGACATTTGCATTCAAAGTCCAGAGTTGAACCTTCCTTCGATAGCTCACGTTTGAAACACTCTTTTTGTAGGATCTGCAAGTGGATATTTGGAGCACTTTGTGGCCTTCGTTCGAAACGGGTATATCTTCACATAAAATCCAGACAGAAGCCTTCTCAGAAACGTCTCTGTGATGATTGCATTCAACTCAGAGAGTTGAACATTCCTTTGGATAGAGCAGTTTCGAAACTCTGTTTCTCTAGAATCTGCACATGGATAGCTGGAACTCTGTGAAGATTTCTTTGCAAATGGGAATATCTTCACATAAAGAGTAAACAGATGCCTTCTCAGAAACTTCTTTGTGAGGCATGTGTTCAACTCCCAGAGTTTAACCTTGCTTTTCATAGAACAGTTTTGAAACATTCTTTTCGTAGAGTCTCCAAGTGGACATTTGGAGCGCTTTCAGGCCTGTGGTGGAAAAGGAAATATCTTCACATAAAAACTAGAGAGAAGCATTGTCAGAGACTACTTCTTTGTGATGACTGCATTCAACTCACGGAGTGGAAGGCTCCTTTTGATACAGCAGCTTGGAAACACTCTTTCAGAGGGAACTGCAAGCGGATACTTGGACCTCTTTGAAGATTTCGATGGGAAAGGGATAATATTCCCATAAAAGCCAAATGGAAGCATGCTCAGAGACTTCTTTGTGATGTTTGCATTCAACTCCCAGAGTTGTACTTTCCTTTTGATAGAGCAGCTTTGAAACCCTCTCTTTCTAGAATCTGCAAGTGGACATTTGGAGGGCTTCGAGGCCTGTGGTGGAAAAGGAAATATCTACTCATAAAAGCTAGATGGAAGCATTCTCCGAAACTACATTTTGATGATTCCTTTCAAGTCACAGAGTTGAATATTCCCTTTGGTAGACCCGTTTGGAAACACACTTTTGGTAGAATCTGCAAGGGGAGATTTGGACCGCTTTGAAGCCTATGGCAGTAGAGGACATCACTGCCCATAAAAACTAGACAGTTGCATTCTCAGGAAACACTTTGTGACGATTGAGTTCAACTCACAGAGCTGAACATTCCTTTGGATGGAGCAGTTTCGAAACACACTTTTCGTAGGATCTGCAAGTGGATATTTGGACTTCTCTGAGGATTTCGTTGGAAACGGGATAAACCTCACCTAACTAAACAGAAGCATTGTTTGGAACTTCTTCGTGATTTTGGCATTCAACTCAGAGAATTGAACCGTCCCTTGTGAGTTCAGGTTGAAACTCTCTTTTCGTAGTATCTGCAAGTGGAGATTTGGAACGCTTTGTGGCCTACGGTAGTAAAGGAAATAGCTTCGAGTTAAAACTTTACAGAAGCATTCTCAGAAAATACATTGTGATGATTGAGTGTATCTCACAGAGCTGAACATTCCTTTGGATGGAGCAGTTTCGAAACACACTTTTTGTAGGATCTGCAAGTGGATATTTGGACTTCTCTAAGGATTTCGTTGGAAACGGGATAAACCTCACCTAACTAAACAGAAGCTTTCGCAGAAACTTCTTTGGGACGTTTGCATTCAAAGTCCAGAGTTGAACCTTCCTTCGATAGCTCACGTTTAAAACACTCTTTTTGTAGGATCTGCAGGTGGATATTTGGAGCACTTTGTGGCCTTCGTTCGAAACGGGTATATCTTCACATAAAATCCAGATAGAAGCCTTCTCAGAACATCTCTGTGATGATTGCATTCAACTCAGAGAGTTGAACATTCCTTTGGATAGAGCAGTTTCTTAACTCTGTTTCTCTAGAATCTGCCCATGGATAGGTGGAACTCTG
>NT_187399.1:0-1472 GCF_000001405.40 Homo sapiens | reverse complement strand
TGAAAGGAATCATCAAAATGTAGTTTCGAAGAATGCTTCCATCTAGCTTTTATGAGTAGATATTTCCTTTCCCACCACAGGCCTCGAAGCCCTCCAAATGTCCACTTGCAGATTCTAGAAAGAGAGGGTTTCAAAGCTGCTCTATCAAAAGGAAAGTACAACTCTGGGAGTTGAATGCAAACATCACAAAGTAGTCTCTGAGCATGCTTCCATTTAGCTTTTATGGTAAGATTTTAACTTTTCCATCGAAATCCTCAAAGAGGTCCAAGTATCCGCTTGCAGGTCCCTCTGAAAGAGTGTTTCCAAGCTGCTGTATCAAAAGGAGCCTTCCACTCCGTGAGTTGAATGCAGTCTTCACAAAGAAGAAGTCTCTGACAATGCTTCTCTCTAGTTTTTATGTGAAGATATTTCCTTTTCCACCACAGGCCTGAAAGCGCAAGAAATGTCCACTTGGAGACTCTACGAAAAGAATGTTTCAAAACTGTTCTATGAAAAGCAAGGTTAAACTCTGGGAGTTGAACACATGCCTCACAAAGAAGTTTCTGAGAAGGCATCTGTTTACTCTTTATGTGAAGATATTCCCGTTTCCAAAGAAATCTTCACAGAGTTCCACCTATCCATGGGCAGATTCTAGAGAAACAGAGTTTCGAAACTGCTCTATCCAAAGGAATGTTCAACTCTCTGAGTTGAATGCAATCATCACAGAGAGGTTACTGAGAAGGCTTCTGTCTGGATTTTATGTGAAGATATACCCGTTTCGAACGAAGGCCACATAGTACTCCAAATATCCACTTGCAGATCCTACAAAAAGTGTGTTTCGAAACTGCTCCATCCAAAGGAATGTTCAGCTCCGTGAGTTGAACTCAATCGTCACAAAGTGTTTCCTGAGAATGCTACTGTCTAGATTTCATGGGCATTGATTTCCTCTACTGCCATAGGCTTCAAAGCGGTCCAAATCTCCCCTTGCAGATTCTACCAAAAGTGTGTTTCCAAAGGGCTCTACCAAAGGGAATGTTCAACTCTGTGACTTGAAAGGAATCATCAAAATATAGTTTCGGAGAATGCTTCCATCTAGCTTTTATGAGTAGATAGTTGATTTTCCACCACAGGCCTCGAAACCCTCCAAATGTCCACTTGCAGATTCTAGAAAGAGAGGGTTTCAAAGCTGCTCTATCAAAAGGAAAGTACAACACTGGGAGTTGAATGCAAACATCACAAAGTAGTCTCTGAGCATGCTTCCATTTAGCTTTTATGGGAAGATTATCCCTTTTCCATCGAAATCTTCAAAGAGGTCCAAGTATCCGCTTGCAGGTCCCTCTAAAAGAGTGTTTCCAAGCTGCTGTATCAAAAGGAGCATTCCACTCCGTGAGTTGAATGCAGTCATCACAAAGAAGAAGTCTCTGACAATGCTTCTCTCTAGTTTTTATGTGAAGATATTTCCTTCTTCACCACAGGCCTGAAAGCGCAACAAA
>NT_187398.1:0-1942 GCF_000001405.40 Homo sapiens | reverse complement strand
CACAGAGCAGACTTGAAACACTCTTTTTGTGGAATTTGCAAGTGGAGATTTCAGACGCTTTGAGGTCAATAGTAGAAAAAGGAAATATCTTCGTATAGAAACAAGACAGAATGATTCTCAGAAACTCCTTTGTGATGTGTGCGTTCAACTCACAGAGTTTTACCTTTCTTTTCATGGAGCAGTTAGGAAACACTCTGTTTGTAAAGTCTGCAAGTGGATATTCAGACCTCCTTGAGGCCTCCGTTGGAAACGGGATTTCTTAATATTCTGCTAGACAGAAGAATTCTCAGTAACTTCCTTGCGTTGTGTGTATTCAACTCACAGAGTTGAACGATCCTTTACACAGAGCAGACTTGAAACACTCTTTTTGTGGAATTTGCAAGGGGAGATTTCAGCCGCTTTGAGGTCAATAGTAGAAAAGGAAATATCTTCGTATAGAAACTAGACAGAATGATTCTCAGAAACTCCTTTGTGTTGTGAGCGTTCAACTCACAGAGTTTAACCTTTCTTTTCATAGAGCAGTTAGGAAACACTCTGTTTATAAAGTCTGCAAGTGGATATTCAGACCCCTTTGAGGCCTTCGTTGGAAACGGGATTTCTTCATATTCTGCTAGACAGAAGAATTCTCAGTAACTTCCTTGTGTTGTGTGTATTCAACTCACAGAGTTGAACGATCCTTTACACAGAGCAGACTTGAAACACTCTTTTTGTGGAATTTGCAGGTGGAGATTTCAGCCGCTTTGAGGTCAATGGTAGAAGAGGAAATATCTTCGTATAAAAACTAGACAGAATGATTCTCAGAAACTCCTTTGTGATGTGGGCGTTGAACTCCCAGAGTTTAACCTTTCTTTTCATAGAGCAGTTAGGAAACACTCTGTTTGTATAGTCTGCACGTGGATACTTGGACTTCTTTGAGACCTTCGTTGGAAATGGGTTTTTTTCATGTAAGGCTAGACAGAAGAATTCTCAGTAACTTCCTTGTGTTGTGTGTATTCAACTGACAGAGTTGAACTTTCATTTAGAGAGAGCAGATTTGAAACACTATTTTTGTGGAATTTGCAAGTGGAGATTACAAGCGCTTTTGGGCCAAAGGCAGAAAAGGAAATATCTTCGTATAAAAACTAGACAGAATCATCCTCAGAAACTGCACTGTGATGTGTGCGTTCAACTCTCAGTGTTTAACTTTTCTTTTCATTCAGCAGTTTGGAAACACTCTGTTTGTAAAGTCTGCACGTGGATATTTTGACCACTTAGAGGCCTTCGTTGGAAACGGGTTTTTTTCATGTAATGCTAGGCAGAAGAATTCCCAGTAACTTCATTGTGTTGTGTGCATTCAACTCACAGAGTTGAACGTTCCCTTAGACAGAGCAGATTTGAAACACTCTATTTGTGCAATTTGCAAGTGTAGATTTCAAGCGCTTTAAGGTCAATGGCAGAAAAGGAAATATCTTCGTTTCAAAACTAGACAGAATCATTCCCTCAAACTGCGTTGTGATGTGTTCGTTCAACTCACAGAGTTTAACCTTTCTGTTCATAGAGCAGTTAGGAAACACTCTGTTTGTAAAGTCTGCAATTGGATATTCAGACCTCTTTGAGGCTTTCGTTGGAAACGGGATTTCTTCATATTCTGCTAGACAGAAGAATTCTCAGAAACTTCCTTGTGTTGTGTGTATTCAACTCACAGAGTTGAATGATCCTTTACACAGAGCAGACTTGAAACACACTTTTTGTGGAATTTCCAAGTGGAGATTTCAGCCGCTTTGGGGTCAATGGTAGCAAAGGAAATATCTTCGTATAGAAACAAGACAGAATGATTCTCAGAAACTCCTTTGTGATGTGTGCGTTCAACTCACAGAGTTTAACCTTTCTTTTCACAGAGCAGTTAGGAAACACTCTGTTTGTAAAGTTTGCAAGTGGATATTCTGACATCCTTGAGGCCTTC
>NT_187397.1:0-2165 GCF_000001405.40 Homo sapiens | reverse complement strand
TTTTGTGGAATTTGCAAGTGGAGATTTCAAGCGCTTTGGGGACAAAGGCAGAAAAGGAAATATCTTGGTATAAAAACTGGACAGAATCATTCTCAGAAACTGCTGCGTGATGTGTGGGATTACCTCTCAGAGTTTTACTTTTCTTTTCATTCAGCGGTTTGGAAACACTCTGTTTGTAAAGTCTGCACGTGGATATTTTGACCACTTAGAGGCCTTCGTTGGAAACGGGTTTTTTTCATGTAAGGCTAAACAGAAGAATTCCCAGTAACTTCCTTGTGTTGTGTGCATTCAACTCACAGAGTTGAACGTTCCCTTAGACAGAGCAGATTTGAAACACTGTATTTGTGCAATTTGCAAGTGTAGATTTCAAGCGCTTTAAGGTCAATGGCAGAAAAGGAAATATCTTCGTTTCAAAACTAGACAGAATCATTCCCACAAACTGCGTTGTGATGTGTTCGTTCAGCTCACAGAGTTTAACCTTTCTGTTCATAGAGCAGTTAGGAAACACTCTGTTTGTAAAGTCTGTAAGTGGATATTCTGACATCTTGTGGCCTTCGTTGGAAACGGGATTTCTTCATCTTCTGCTACACAGAAGAATTCTCAGTAACTTCCTTGTGTTGTGTGTATTCAACTCACAGAGTTGAACGATCCTTTACACAGAGCAGACTTGAAACACTCTATTTGTGGAATTTGCAAGTGGAGATTTCAGCCGCTTTGAGGTCAATGATAGAAAAGGAAATATCTTCGTATAAAAACTAGACAGAATGATTCTCAGAAACTCCTTTGTGATGTGTGCGTTCAACTCACAGAGTTTAACCTTTCTTTTCATAGAGCAGTTAGGAAACACTCTTTCTGAAAAGTCTGCAAGTGGATATTCAGACCTCTTTGAGGCATTCGTTGGAAGCGGGATTTCTTCATATTCTGCTAGACAGAAGAATTCTCAGTAACTTCTTTTTGTTGTGTGTATTCAACTCACAGAGTTGTACGATCCTTTACACAGAGCAGACTTGAAACACTCTTTTTATGGAATTTGCAGGTGGAGATTTCAGCCGCTTTGAGGTCAATGGTTGAATAGGAAATATCTTCCTATAGAAACTAGACAGAATGATTCTCAGAAACTCCTTTGTGATGTGTGCGTTCAACTCACAGAGTTTAACCTTTCTTTTCATAGAGCAGTTAGGAAACACTCTTTCTGAAAAGTCTGCAAGTGGATATTCAGACCTCTTTGAGGCCTTCGTTGGAAACGGGATTTCTTCATATTCTGCTAGACAGAAGAATTCTCAGTAACTTCCTTGTTTTGTGTGTGTTCAACTCACAGAGTTGAACGATCCTTTACACAGAGCAGACTTGAAACACTCTTTTTGTGGAATTTGCAAGTGGAGATTTCAGCCGCTTTGAGATCAATGGTAGAAAAGGAAATATCTTCGTATAAAAACTAGACAGAATGATTCTCAGAAACTCCTTTGTGCTGTGGGCATTCAACTCACAGAGTTTAACCTTTTTTTCATAGAGCAGTTAGGAAACACTCTGTTTGTAATGTCTGCACGTGGATATTTGGACTTCTTTGAGGCCTTCGTTGGAAACGGGTTTTTTTCATTTAAGGCTAGACAGAAGAATTCTCAGTAACTTCCTTGTGTTGTGTGTATTCAACTGACAGAGTTGAACTTTCATTTAGAGAGAGCAGATTTGAAACACTGTTTTTTTGGATTTGCAAGTGGAGATTTCAAGCGCTTTGGGGCCAAAAGCAGAAAAGTAAATATCGTCGTATAAAAACTAGACAGAATCATTCTCAGAAACTGCTCTGTGATGTGTGCGTTCAACTCTCAGAGTTTAACTTTTCTTTTCATTCAGCAGTTTGAAACACTCTGTTTGTAAACTCTGCACGTGGATAATTGGACCACTTAGAGGCCTTCGTTGGAAAAGGGTTTTTTTCCTGTCAGGCTAGACAGAAGAATTCCCAGTAACTTCCTTGTGTTGTGTGCATTCAACTCACAGAGTTGAACGTTCCCTTAGACAGAGCAGATTTGAAACACTCTATTTGTGCAATTGGCAACTGTAGATTTCAAGCGTTTATGTCAATGGCAGAAAAGGAAATATCTTCGTTTCAAAACTAGACAGAATCATTCCCTCAAACTGCGTTGTGATGTGTTCGTTCAACTCACAGA
>NT_187396.1:0-2274 GCF_000001405.40 Homo sapiens | reverse complement strand
GATTATCCCTTTTCCATCGAAATATTCAAAGAGGTCCACATATCCGCTTGCAGATTCCACCGAAAGAGGGTTCCAAATTGCTGTATCGAAAGGAATCTTCAACTCCGTGAGTTGAATGCAATCATCACAAAGAAGTTTCTGACAATGCTTCTCTCTAGTTTTTATGTGAAGATATTTCCTTTTCCACCACAGGCCTGAAAGCGCTCCAAATGTCCACTTGGAGAATCTACGAAAAGAATGTTTCAAAACTGCTCTATGAAAAGCAATGTTATACTCTGGGGGTTGAACACAAGCCTCACAAACGAGTTTCTGAGAATGCTTCTGTTTACTTTTTACGTGAAGACATTCCCGTTTCCTAAGAAATCTTCACAGAGTTCCACCTATCCATTTGCAGATGCTAGAAAAAGAGAGTTGCAAAACTGCTCTATCAAAAGGAATGTTCAACTCTGTGAGTTGAATGCAGTCATCACAGAGAAGTTTCTGAGAAGGCTTCTGTGTAGATTTTATGTGAAGATATACCCGTTTCGAACGAAGGCCACAAAGTGCTCCAAATATGCACTTGCATGTCCTCCAACAAGAGTGTTTCAAACGAGAACTATCAAAGGAAGGTTCAACTCTGGACTTTGAATGCAAACGTCAGAAAGATGTTTCTGCGAAAGCTTCTGTTTAGTTAGGTGACGTTATCCCGTTTCCAACGAAATCCTCAGAGAGGTCCAAATATCCACCTGCAGATTCTGCAAAAAGTGTGTTTCCAAACTGCTCCACCCAAAGGCATGTTCAGCTCTGTGAGTTAAACTCAATCATCACAAAGTATTTTCTGAGAATGCTTCTGTCCAGTTTTTACTCGAAGCTATTTCCTTTACTACCGTAGGCCACAAAGCGTTCCAAATCTCCACTTGCAGATACTACGAAAAGAGTGTTTCAACCTGAACTCACAAGGGACGGTTCAACTCTGTGAGTTGAATGCCAACATCACGAAGCAGTTCCTGACAAGGCTTCCGCTCAGTTAGGTGTGGTTTATCCCGTTTCCAACGAAATCCTCAGAGAAGTACAAATATCCACTTGCAGATCCTACAAAAAGTGTGTTTCGAAACTGCTCCATCCAAAGGAATGTTCAGCTCTGTGAGTTGAACTCAATCGTCACACAGTGTTTCCTGAGAATGCTACTGTCTAGATTTCATGGGCAGTGATTTTCTCTACTACCATAGGCTTCAAAGCGGTCCAAATCTCCCCTTGCAGATTCTACCAAAAGTGTGTTTCCAAACGGCTCTACCAAAGGGAATGTTCAACTCTGTGACTTGAAAGGATCATCAAAATGTAGTTTCGGAGAATGCTTCCATCTAGCTTTTATGAGGAGATAGTTGATTTTCCACCACAGGCCTCGAAACCCTCCAAATATCCACTTGCAGATTCTAGAAAGAGACGGTTTCAAAGCTGCTCTATCAAAAGGAAAGTTCAACTCTGGGAGTTGAATGCAAACATCACAAAGTAGTCTCTGAGCATGCTTCCATTTAGCTTTTATGGGAAGATTATCCCTTTTCCATCGAAATCTTCAAAGAGGTCCAAGTATCCGCTTGCAGGTCCCTCTGAAAGAGTGTTTCCAAGCTGCTGTATCAAAAGGAGCCTTCCACTCCGTGAGTTGAATGCAGTCTTCACAAAGAAGGAGTCTCTGATAATGCTTCTCTCTAGTTTTTATGTGAAGATATTTCCTTTTCCACCACAGGCCTGAAAGCGCAAGAAATGTCCACTTGGAGACTCTACGATAAGAATGTTTCAAAACTGTTCTATGTAAAACATGGTTAAACTCTGGGAGTTGAACAAATGCCTCACAAAGAAGTTTCTGAGAAGGCATCTGTTTACTCTTTATGTGAAGATATTCCCGTTTCCAAAGAAATCTTCACAGAGTTCCACCTATCCATGGGCAGATTCTAGAGAAACAGAGTTTCGAAACTGCTCTATCCAAAGGAATGTTCAACTCTCTGAGTTGAATGCAATCATCACAGAGAGGTTACTGAGAAGGCTTCTGTCTGGATTTTATGTGAAGATATACCCGTTTCGAACGAAGGCCACATAGTGCTCCAAATATCCACTTGCAGATCCTACAAAAAGAGTGTTTCAAACGTGAGCTATCGAAGGAAGGTTCAACTCTGGACTTTGAATGCAAACATCCCAAAGAAGTTTCTGCGAAAGCTTCTGTTTAGTTAGGTGACGTTATCCCGTTTCCAACGAAATCCTCAGAGAGGTCCAAATATCCACTTGCAGATGCTACAAAAA
>NT_187395.1:0-37240 GCF_000001405.40 Homo sapiens | reverse complement strand
CCGTAAATGTCTGCAGCTTCATTCTTGAAGTGAGCAAGACCATGAACCTGCCAGAAGGAAGAAATTCTGGACACATCAGAAGTAACAAACTCTGGGCTTAATACCTTTAAGTGCTGTAACACTCAACACTAAGGTCTGCAGCTTCATTCTTGAAGTGAGCAAGACCATGAACCCGCCAGAAGGAAGAAACTCTGGACACATCTGTAGGAAAAAACTCTGGACATAACACCTTTAAGTGCTGTAACCCTCACCACTAAGGTCTGCAGCTTCATTCTTGAAGTGACCAAGACCATGAACCTGCGAGATGGAAGAAACTCTGGAAATATCTGAAGGAAAAAACTCTGGACATAACATCTTTCAGTGCTGTAACACTCACCTTAAAGGTCTAAAGTTTCATTCTTGAAGTGAGCAAGAGCATGAACTTGCCAGGAGGAAGAAACTGGACACATCTGCAGGAACAAACTCTGGACATAACACCTTTAAGTGCTGTAACACTCACCATAATGGTCTGCAGTTTCATTTTTGAAGTGAGCAAGACCATGAACCTGCCAGAAGGAAGAAACTCTGGACACATCTGAAGGAACAAACTCTGGACATAACACTTTTTAGTGCTGTAACACTCACCGTAAAGGACTGGAGGTTCATTCTTGAAGTGAGCAAGACCATGAACCTGCCAGAAGAAAGGAACTCTGGACACATCTGAAGGAACAAACTCTGGACATCACACCTTTAAGTGCTGTAACACTCACCACCTAGGTCTGCAGCCTCATTCTTAAAGTGAGCAAGAACATGAACCTGCCAGAAGGAAGAAACTCTGGACACATCTGAAGGAACAAACTTTGGACATAACACTTTATATGCTGTAACAATCACCGTAAAGGTCTGCAGCTTCATTCTTACTTGAAGTGAGCAATACCATGAACATGCCAGAAGGAAGAAACTCTAGACACATCTTACGGAACAAACTCTGGATATAACAACTTTAATTGCTGTAACACTCACCGTAAATGTCTGCAGCTTCATTCTTGAAGTAAGCAAGACCATGAACCTGCCAGAAGGAAGAAAGTCTATACACATCTGATGGAACAAACTCTGGACATAACACTTTTAAGTGCTGGAACACTCACCACCAAGGTGTGCAGCTTCATTCTTGAAGTGAGCAAGACCATGAACCTGCCAGAAGAAAGAAACTCTGGACAAAACTGAAGGAACAAACTCTGAACATAACACTTTTAAGTGCTGTAAAACTCACCGTAAAGGTCTGGAGATTCAATCTTGAATTGAACAAGGCCATGAACCTGAGACAAGAAGGAAACTCTGGACACATCTGAAGGAACAAACTCTGAATATAACAACTTCAAGTGCTGTAACACTCACCGTAAAGGTCTGCAGCTTCATTCTTGGAGTGAACAAGTCCATGAACCTGCCAGAAGGAAGAAACTCTATACACATCTGATGGAACAAACTCTGGACATAACACCTTTAAGTGCTCTAACACTCACCACCAAGGTCTGCAGCTTTATCCTTGAAGTGAGCAATACCATGAACCTGCCCGAAGGAAGAAACTCTGGACACATCTGAAGGACTAAACTCCGTACATAACAACTTTATATGCTGTAACACTCACCGTAAAGGTCTGCACCTTCATTCTTTCTTGAAGTGAGCAAGACCATGTCCCTGCAAGAAGGAAGAATATCTGGACAAATCTGAAGGAACAAACTCTGGACATAACACATTTAAGTGCTGTAACACTCACCACTAAATTCTGGAGCTTCACTCTTGAAGTGAGCAAGACCATGAACCTGCCAGATGGAAGAAACTCCGGACACATCTGAAAGAAAAACTCTGGACATAACACCTTTAACTGCTGTAACATTCACCACTAAGGTCTGCAGCTTCATTCTTGAAGTGAGCAAGACCATGAACCTGCCAGAAGGAAGAAACTCAGAACACATCTGAAGGAACAAACTCTGGACATAACACCTTTAAGTGCTGTAACGCTCACCACCTAGGTCTGCAGCTTCATTCTTGAAGTGAGCAAGACCATGAACCTGCCTGAAGGAAGAAACTCTAGACACATCTGAAGGAACAAACTCTGGACATAAAACTTTTAAGTGCTGTAACACTCACCCTAAAGGTCTGCAGCTTCATTCTTGAAGTAAGCAAGACCATGAACCTGCCAAAAGGAAGAAATTCTGGACACATCTGAAGGAACAAATTCTGGATATAACAAATTTAAGTGCTGTAACACTCACCGTAAATGTCTGCAGCTTCATTCTTGAAGTGAGCAAGACCATGAACCTGCCAGAAGGAAGAAACTCTGGACACATCTGAAGTAACAACCTCTGGGCATAATACCTTTAAGTGCTGTAACACCCACCACTAAGGTCTGCAGCTTCATTCTTGAAGTGAGCAAGACCATGAACCTGCCAGAAGGAAGAAACTCTGGACACATCTGACGGAAAAAACTCTGGATAAAACAACTTTAAGTGCTGTAACCCTCACCACTAAGGTCTGCAGCTTCATTCTTGAAGTGAGCAAGACCATGAACCTGCCAGATGGAAGAAACTCTGGAAACATCTGAAGGAACAAACTCTGGACATAACATCTTTCAGTGCTGTAACACTCACCGTAAAGGTCTACAGTTTCATTCTTGAAGTGAGCAAGACCATGAACCTGCCAGAAGGAAGAAACTCTGGACACCTCTGAAGGAACAAACCCTGGACATAACACCTTTAATTGTTGCAACACTCACCTCAAAGGTCTGCAGCTTCATTCTTGAAGTGCGCAAGACCATGAACCTGCCAGATGGAAGAAACTCTGGACACATCTGAACGAACAAACTCTGGACATAACAACTTTAAGTACTGTAACACTCACCACTAAGGTCTGCAGCTTCATTCTTGAAGTGAGCAAGACCATGAACCTGCCAGAGGGAAGAAACTCTAGACGTATCTGACGGTACAAACTCTGGACATAACACCTTTAAGTGCTGTAACGCTCACCACCTAGGTCTGCAGCTTCATTCTTGAAGTGAGCAAGACCGGGAACCTGCCAGAAGGAAGAAACTCTGGCCACATCTGAAGGAACAAACTCTGGACATAAAACTTTTAAGTGTCGTAACACTCACCCTAAATGTCTGCATCTTCATTCTTGAAGTGAGCAAGACCATGAACCTGCCAGAAGGAAGAAATTCTGGACACATCTGAATGAACAAACTCTGGACATAACACCTTTAAGTGCTGTGACACTCAACGTAAAGGTCTGCAGCTTCATTCTTGAAGTGAGCAAGACCATCAACCTGCCAGAAGGAAGAAACTCTATACACATCCGATGGAACAAACTCAGGACAAACACCTTTAACTGCTGTAACAATCACCACCAAGGTCTGCAGCTTCATTCTTGAAGTGAGCAAGACCATGAACCTGCCCGAAAGAAGAAATTCTGGACACATCTGAGGGACAAAACTCTGGACATAACACCTTTATATGCTGTAACACTCACCGTAAAGGTCTACAGCTTCATTCTTTCTTGAAGTGAGCAAGACCATGAACATGCCAGAAGAAAGAATATCTGGACACATCTGAAGGAACAAACTCTGGACATAACACCTTTAAGTGCTGTAACAATCACCACTAAATTTTGCAGCTTCACTATTGAAGTGAGCAAGACCATGAAAATGCAAGTTGAAAGAAACTCTGGACACATCTGAAGGAAAAAACTCTGGACAAAACACCTTTAAGTACTGTAACACTCACCGCTAAGGTGTGCAGCTTCATTCTTGAAGTGAGCAAGACCATGAACCTGCCAGAAGGAAGAAACTCTGGACACATCTGAAGGAACAAACTTTGGACATAACACTTTATATGCTATAACACTCACCGTAATGGTCTGCAGCTTCATTCTTTCTTGAAGTGAGCAAGACCATGAACATGCCAGAAGGAAGAAACTCTAGACACATCTTATGGAACAAACTCTGTATATAACACCTTTAAGTGCTGTAACACTCACCGTAAAGGACTGCAGCTTCATTCTTGAAGTGAAGAAGTCCATGAACCTGCCAGAAGGAAGAAAATCTATGCACATCTGATGGAACAAACGCTGGACATAACACGTTTAAGTGCTGTAACACTCAACACCAATGTCTGCAGCTTTATTCTTGAAGTGAGCAATACCATGAACCTGCCCGAAGGAAGAAACTGTGGACAAATCTGAAGGACTAATCTCCGTACATAACAACTTTATATGCTGTAACACTCACCGTAAAGGTCTGCATCTTCATTCTTTCTTGAAGTGAGCAAGACCTTGACCCTGCAAGAAGGAAGAATATCTGGACACATCTGAAGGAACAAACTCTGGAAATAACACCTTTAATTGCTGTAACATTCACCACTAAGGTCTGCAGCTTCATTCTTGAAGTGAGCAAGACCATGAACCTGCCAGAAGGAAGAAACTCTGAACACATCTGAAGGAACAAACGCTGGACATAACACCTTTAAGTGCTATAACACTCACCGTAAAGTTCTGCAGCTTCATTCTTGAAGTGTGCAAGACCATGAACCTGCCAGAAGGAAGAAACTCTGGACACATCTGAAGGAAAAACTCTGGACATAACACCTTTAAATGCTGTAACGATCACCACCTAGGTCTGCAGCTTCATTCTTAAAGTGAGCAAGACCATGAACCTGCCTGAAGGAAGAAACTCTGGACACATCTAAAGGAACAAACTCTGGACATAAAACTTTCAAGTGCTGTAACACTCACCCTAAAGGTCTGCAGCTTCATTCTTGAAGTGAGCAAGACCATGAACCCGCCAGAAGGAAGAAATTCTGGACACATCTGAAGGAACAAACTCTGGATACAACAAATATAAGTGCTGTAACACTCACCGTAAATGTCTGCAGCTTCATTCTTGAAGTGAGCAAGACCATGAACCTGCCAGAAGGGAGAAACTCTGGACACATCTGAAGTAACAAACCCTGGGCATAATACCTTTAAGTGCTGTAACACTCACCACTAAGGTCTGTAGCTTCATTCTTGAAGTGAGCAAGACCATGAACCAGCCAGAAGGAAGAAACTCTGGACACATTTGTAGAAAAAAACTCTGGACATAACACCTTTAAGTGCTGTAACCCTCACCACTAAGGTCTGCAGCTTCATTCTTGAAGTGACCAAGACCATGATCCTGCCAGATGGAAGAAACTCTGGAAATATCTGAAGGAAAAAACTCTGGACATAACATCTTTCAGTGCTGTAACACTCACCGTAAAGGTCTACAGTTTCATTCTTGAAGTGAGCAAGACCATGAACTTGCCAGGAGGAAGAAACTGGACACATCTGAAGGAACAAACTCTGGACATAACACCTTTAAGTGCTGTAACACTCACCGTAATGGTCTCCAGTTTCATTTTTGAAGTGAGCAAGACCATGAACCTGCCAGAAGGAAGAAACTCTGGACACATCTGAAGGAAAAAACTCTGGACATAACACTTTTAAGTGCTGTAACACTCACCGTAAAGGACTGGAGCTTCATTCTTGAAGAGAGCAAGAACATGAACCTGTCAGAAGAAAGGAACTCTGGACACATCTGAAGGAACAATCTCTGGACATCACACCTTTAAGTGCTGTAACACTCACCACCTAGGTCTGCAGCCTCATTCTTAAAGTGAGCAAGAACATGAACCTGCCAGAAGGAAGAAACTCTGGACACATCTGAAGGAACAAACTTTGGACATAACACTTTATATGCTGTAACAATCACCGTAAAGGTCTGCAGCTTCATTCTTACTTGAAGTGAGCAATACCATGAACATGCCAGAAGGAAGAAACTCTAGACACATCTTACGGAACAAACTCTGGATATAACAACTTTAATTGCTGTAACACTCACCGTAAATGTCTGCAGCTTCATTCTTGAAGTAAGCAAGACCATGAACCTGCCAGAAGGAAGAAAGTCTATACACATCTGATGGAACAAACTCTGGACATAACACTTTTAAGTGCTGGAACACTCACCACCAAGGTGTGCAACTTCATTCTTGAAGTGAGCAAGACCATGAACCTGCCAGAAGAAAGAAACTCTGGACAAAACTGAAGGAACAAACTCTGAAAATAACACTTTTAAGTGCTGTAAAACTCACCGTAAAGGTCTGGAGATTCAATCTTGAATTGAACAAGGCCATGAACCTGAGAGAAGAAGGAAACTCTGGACACATCTGAAGGAACAAACTCTGAATATAACAACTTTAAGTGCTGTAACACTCACCGTAAAGGTCTGCAGCTTCATTCTTGGAGTGAACAAGTCCATGAACCTGCCAGAAGGAAGAAACTCTATACACATCTGATGTAAAAAACTCTGAACATAACACCTTTAACTGCTCTAACACTCACCACCAAGGTCTGCAGCTTTATTCTTGAAGTGAGCAATACCATGAACCTGCCCGAAGGAAGAAACTCTGGACACATCTGAAGGACTAAACTCCGTACATAACAACTTTATATGCTGTAACACTCACCGTAAAGGTCTGCACCTTCATTCTTTCTTGAAGTGAGCAAGACCATGACCCTGCAAGAAGGAAGAATATCTGGACACATCTGAAGGAACAAACTCTGGACATAACACATTTAAGTGCTGTAACACTCACCACTAAATTCTGCAGCTTCACTCTTGAAGTGAGCAAGACCTTGAACCTGCCAGATGGAAGAAACTCCGGACACATCGGAAAGAAAAAACTCTGGACATAACACCTTTAATTGCTGTAACATTCACCACTAAGGTCTGCAGCTTCATTCTTGAAGTGAGCAAGACCATGAACCTCCCAGAAGGAAGAAACTCAGAACACATCTGAAGGAACAAACTCTGGACATAACACCTTTAAGTGCTGTAACGCTCACCACCTAGGTCTGCAGCTTCATTCTTGAAGTGAGCAAGACCATGAACCTGCCTGAAGGAAGAAACTCTGGACACATCTGAAGGAACAAACTGTGGACATAAAACTTTTAAGTGCTGTAACACTCACCCTAAAGGTCTGCAGCTTCATTCTTGAAGTAAGCAAGACCATGAACCTGCCAGAAGGAAGAAACTCTGGACACATCTGAAGGAACAAACTCTGGATATAACAAATTTAAGTGCTGTAACACTCACCGTAAATGTCTGCAGCTTCATTCTTGAAGTGAGCAAGACCATGAACCTGCCAGAAGGAAGAAACTCTGGACACATCTGAAGTAAGATACTCTGAGCATAATACCTTTAAGTGCTGTAACACCCACCACTAAGGTCTGCAGCTTCATTCTTGAAGTGAGCAAGACCATGAACCTGCCAGAAGGAAGAAACTCTGGACACATCTGAAGGAAAAAACTCTGGATAAAACAACTTTAAGTGCTGTAACCCTCACCACTAAGGTCTGCAGCTTCATTCTTGAAGTGAACAAGACCATGAACCTGCCAGATGGAAGAAACTCTGGAAATATCTGAAGGAACAAACTCTGGACATAACATCTTTCAGTGCTGTAACACTCACCGTAAAGGTCTACAGTTTCATTCTTGAAGTGAGCAAGACCATGAACCTGCCAGAAGGAAGAAACTCTGGACAGCTCTGAAGGAAAAAACCCTGGACACAACACCTTTAATTGTTGCAACACTCACCTCAAAGGTCTGCAGCTCCATTCTTGAAGTGCGCAAGACCATGAACCTGCCAGATGGAAGAAACTCTGGACACATCTGAACGAACAAACTCTGGACATAACAACTTTAAGTACTGTAACACTCACCACTAAGGTCTGCAGCTTCATTCTTGAAGTGAGCAAGACCATGAACCTGCCAGAGGGAAGAAACTCTAGACGTATATGACGGTAGAAACTCTGGACATAACACCTTTAAGTGCTGTAACGCTCACCACCTAGGTCTGCAGCTTCATTCTTGAAGTGAGCAAGACCGTGAACCTGCCAGAAGGAAGAAACTCTGGCCACATCTGAAGGAACAAACTCTGGACATAAAACTTTTAAGTGCCGTAACACTCACCCTAAATGTCTACATCTTCATTCTTGAAGTGAGCAAGACCATGAACCTGCCAGAAGGAAGAAATTCTGGACACATCTGAATGAACAAACTCTGGACATAACACCTTTAAGTGCTGTGACACTCACCGTAAAGGTCTGCAGCTTCATTCTTGAAGTGAGCAAGACCATCAACCTGCCAGAAGGAAGAAACTCTATACACATCCGATGGAACAAACTCAGGACAAACACCTTTAACTGCTGTAACAATCACCACCAAGGTCTGCAGCTTCATTCTTGAAGTGAGCAAGACCATGAACCTGCCAGAGGGAAGAAACTCTAGACGTATCTGACGGTAGAAACTCTGGACATAACACCTTTAAGTGCTGTAACGCTCACCACCTAGGTCTGCAGCTTCATTCTTGAAGTGAGCAAGACCGTGAACCTGCCAGAAGGAAGAAACTCTGGCCACATCTGAAGGAACAAACTCTGGACATAAAACTTTTAAGTGCCGTAACACTCACCCTAAATGTCTACATCTTCATTCTTGAAGTGAGCAAGACCATGAACCTGCCAGAAGGAAGAAATTCTGGACACATCTGAATGAACAAACTCTGGACATAACACCTTTAAGTGCTGTGACACTCACCGTAAAGGTCTGCAGCTTCATTCTTGAAGTGAGCAAGACCATCAACCTGCCAGAAGGAAGAAACTCTATACACATCCGATGGAACAAACTCAGGACAAACACCTTTAACTGCTGTAACAATCACCACCAAGGTCTGCAGCTTCATTCTTGAAGTGAGCAAGACCATGAACCTGCCCGAAAGAAGAAATTCTGGACACATCTGAGGGACAAAACTCTGGACATAACACCTTTATATGCTGTAACACTCACCGTAAAGGTCTACAGCTTCATTCTTTCTTGAAGTGAGCAAGACCATGAACATGCCAGAAGAAAGAATATCTGGACACATCTGAAGGAACAAACTCTGGACATAACACCTTTAAGTGCTGTAACAATCACCACTAAATTTTGCAGCTTCACTCTTGAAGTGAGCAAGACCATGAAAATGCAAGTTGAAAGAAACTCTGGACACATCTGAAGGAAAAAACTCTGGACATAACACCTTTAAGTACTGTAACACTCACCGCTAAGGTGTGCAGCTTCATTCTTGAAGTGAGCAAGACCATGAACCTGCCAGAAGGAAGAAACTCTGGACACATCTGAAGGAACAAACTTTGGACATAACACTTTATATGCTATAACACTCACCGTAATGGTCTGCAGCTTCATTCTTTCTTGAAGTGAGCAAGACCATGAACATGCCAGAAGGAAGAAACTCTAGACACATCTTATGGAACAAACTCTGTATATAACACCTTTAAGTGCTGTAACACTCACCGTAAAGGTCTGCAGCTTCGTTCTTGAAGTGAACAAGTCCATGAACCTGTCAGAAGGAAGAAAATCTATACATATCTGATGGAACAAACGCTGGACATAACACCATTAAGTGCTGTAACACTCAACACCAATGTCTGCAGCTTTATTTTTGAAGTGAGCAATACCATGAACATGCCCGAAGGAAGAAACTCTGGACAAATCTGAAGGACTAAACTCCGTACATAACAACTTTATATGCTGTAACACTCACCGTAAAGGTCTGCATCTTCATTCTTTCTTGAAGTGAGCAAGACCTTGACCCTGCAAGAAGGAAGAATATCTGGACACATCTGAAGGAACAAACTCTGGACATAACACATTTAAGTGCTGTAACACTCACCACTAAATTCTGCAGCTTCACTCTTGAAGTGAGCAAGACCATGAACCTGCCAGATGGAAGAAACTCCGGACACATCTGAAAGAAAAAACTCTGGACATAACACCTTTAATTGCTGTAACATTCACCACTAAGGTCTGCAGCTTCATTCTTGAAGTGAGCAAGACCATGAACCTGCCAGAAGGAAGAAACTCTGAACACATCTGAAGGAACAAACGCTGGACATAACACCTTTAAGTGCTATAACACTCACCGTAAAGTTCTGCAGCTTCATTCTTGAAGTGTGCAAGACCATGAACCTGCCAGAAGGAAGAAACTCTGGACACATCTGAAGGAAAAACTCTGGACATAACACCTTTAAATGCTGTAACGATCACCACCTAGGTCTGCAGCTTCATTCTTAAAGTGAGCAAGACCATGAACCTGCCTGAAGGAAGAAACTCTGGACACATCTAAAGGAACAAACTCTGGACATAAAACTTTCAAGTGCTGTAACACTCACCCTAAAAGTCTGCAGCTTCATTCTTGAAGTGAGCAAGACCATGAACCCGCCAGAAGGAAGAAATTCTGGACACATCTGAAGGAATAAACTCTGGATATAACAAATATAAGTGCTGTAACACTCACCGTAAATGTCTGCAGCTTCATTCTTAAAGTGAGCAAGACCATGAACCTGCCAGAAGGGAGAAACTCTGGACACATCTGAAGTAACAAACTCTGGGCATAATACCTTTAAGTGCTGTAACACTCACCACTAAGGTCTGTAGCTTCATTCTTGAAGTGAGCAAGACCATGAACCTGCCAGAAGGAAGAAACTCTGGACACATCTGTAGGAAAAAACTCTGGACATAACACTTTTAAGTGCTGTAACCCTCACCACTAAGGTCTGCAGCTTCATTCTTGAAGTGACCAAGACCATGATCCTGCCAGATGGAAGAAACTCTGGAAATATCTGAAGGAAAAAACTCTGGACATAACATCTTTCAGTGCTGTAACACTCACCGTAAAGGTCTACAGTTTCATTCTTGAAGTGAGCAAGACCATGAACTTGCCAGGAGGAAGAAACTGGACACATCTGAAGGAACAAACTCTGGACATAACACCTTTAAGTGCTGTAACACTCACCGTAATCGTCTGCAGTTTCATTTTTGAAGTGAGCAAGACCATGAACCTGCCAGAAGGAAGAAACTCTGGACACATCTGAAGGAAAAAAGCTCTGGACATAACACTTTTAAGTGCTGTAACACTCACCGTAAAGGACTGGAGCTTCATTCTTGAAGTGAGCAAGACCATGAACCTGCCAGAAGAAAGAAACTCTGGACACATCTGAAGGAACAAACTCTGGACATCACACCTTTAAGTGCTGTAACACTCACCACCTAGGTCTGCAGCCTCATTCTTAAAGTGAGCAAGAACATGAACCTGCCAGAAGGAAGAAACTCTGGACACATCTGAAGGAACAAACTTTGGACATAACACTTTATATGCTGTAACAATCACCGTAAAGGTCTGCAGCTTCATTCTTACTTGAAGTGAGCAATACCATGAACATGCCAGAAGGAAGAAACTCTAGACACATCTTACGGAACAAACTCTGGATATAACAACTTTAATTGCTGTAACACTCACCGTAAATGTCTGCAGCTTCATTCTTGAAGTAAGCAAGACCAAGAACCTGCCAGAAAGAAGAAAGTCTATACACATCTGATGGAACAAACTCTGGACATAACACTTTTAAGTGCTGGAACACTCACCACTAAGGTGTGCAGCTTCATTCTTGAAGTGAGCAAGACCATGAACCTGCTAGAAGAAAGAAACTCTGGACAAAACTGAAGGAACAAACTCTGAACATAACACTTTTAAGTGCTGTAAAACTCACCGTAAAGGTCTGGAGATTCAATCTTGAATTGAACAAGGCCATGAACCTGAGAGAAGAAGGAAACTCTGGACACATCTGAAGGAACAAACTCTGAATATAACAACTTTAAGTGCTGTAACACTCACCGTAAAGGTCTGCAGCTTCATTCTTGGAGTGAACAAGTCCATGAACCTGCCAGAAGGAAGAAACTCTATACACATCTGATGGAACAAACTCTGAACATAACACCTTTAAGTGCTCTAACACTCACCACCAAGGTCTGCAGCTTTATTCTTGAAGTGAGCAATACCATGAACCTGCCCGAAGGAAGAAACTCTGGACACATCTGAAGGACTAAACTCCGTACATAACAACTTTATATGCTGTAACACTCACCGTAAAGGTCTGCACCTTCATTCCTTCTTGAAGTGAGCAAGACCATGACCCTGCAAGAAGGAAGAATATCTGGACACATCTGAAGGAACAAACTCTGGACATAACACATTTAAGTGCTGTAACACTCACCACTAAATTCTGCAGCTTCACTCTTGAAGTGAGCAAGACCATGAACCTGCCAGATGGAAGAAACTCCGGACACATCTGAAAGAAAACACTCTGGACATAACACCTTTAATTGCTGTAACATTCACCACTAAGGTCTGCAGCTTCATTCTTGAAGTGAGCAAGACCATGAACCTGCCAGAAGGAAGAAACTCAGAACACATCTTAAGGAACAAACTCTGGACATAACACCTTTAAGTGCTGTAACGCTCACCACCTAGGTCTGCAGCTTCATTCTTGAAGTGAGCAAGACCATGAACCTGCCTGAAGGAAGAAACTCTGGACACATCTGAAGGAACAAACTCTGGACATAAAACTTTTAAGTGCTGTAACACTCACCATAAAGGTCTGCAGCTTCATTCTTGAAGTAAGGAAGACCATGAACCTGCCAGAAGGAAGAAATTCTGGACACATCTGAAGGAACAAACTCTGGATATAACAAATTTAAGTGCTGTAACACTCACCGTAAATGTCTGCAGCTTCATTCTTGAAGTGAGCAAAACCATGAACCTGCCAGAAGGAAGAAACTCTGGACACATCTGAAGTAACAAACTCTGGGCATAATACCTTTAAGTGCTGTAACACCCACCACTAAGGTCTGCAGCTTCATTCTTGAAGTGAGCAAGACCATGAACATGCCAGAAGGAAGAAACTCTGGACACATCTGAAGGAAAAAACTCTGGATAAAACAACTTTAAGTGCTGTAACCCTCACCACTAAGGTCTGCAGCTTCATTCTTGAAGTGAGCAAGACCATGAACCTGCCAGATGGAAGAAACTCTGGAAATATCTGAAGGAAAAAACTCTGGACATAACATCTTTCAGTGCTGTAACACTCACCGTAAAGGTCTACAGTTTCATTCTTGAAGTGAGCAAGACCATGAACCTGCCAGAAAGAAGAAACTCTGGACACCTCTGAAGGAAAAAACCCTGGACATAACACCTTTAATTGTTGCAACACTCACCTCAAAGGTCTGCAGCTCCATTCTTGAAGTGCGCAAGACCATGAACCTGCCAGATGGAAGAAACTCTGGACACATCTGAACGAACAAACTCTGGACATAACAACTTTAAGTACTGTAACACTCACCACTAAGGTCTGCAGCTTCATTCTTGAAGTGAGCAAGACCATGAACCTGCCAGAGAGAAGAAACTCTAGACGTATCTGACGGTACAAACTCTGGACATAACACCTTTAAGTGCTGTAACGCTCACCACCTAGGTCTGCAGCTTCATTCTTGAAGTGAGCAAGACCGTGAACCTGCCAGAAGGAAGAAACTCTGGCCACATCTGAAGGAACAAACTCTGGACATAAAACTTTTAAGTGTCGTAACACTCACCCTAAATGTCTGCATCTTCATTCTTGAAGTGAGCAAGACCATGAACCTGCCAGAAGGGAGAAATTCTGGACACATCTGAATGAACAAACTCTGGACATAACCCCTTTAAGTGCTGTGACACTCACCGTAAAGGTCTGCAGCTTCGTTCTTGAAGTGAGCAAGACCATCAACCTGCCAGAAGGAAGAAACTCTATACACATCCGATGGAACAAACTCAGGACAAACACCTTTAACTGCTGCAACAATCACCACCAAGGTCTGCAGCTTCATTCTTGAAGTGAGCAAGACCATGAACCTCCCCGAAAGAAGAAATTCTGGACACATCTGAGGGACAAAACTCTGGACATAACACCTTTATATGCTGTAACACTCACCGTAAAGGTCTACAGCTTCATTCTTTCTTGAAGTGAGCAAGACCATGAACATACCAGAAGAAAGAATATCTCGACACATCTGAAGGAACAAACTCTGGACATAACACCTTTAAGTGCTGTAACAATCACCACTAAATTTTGCAGCTTCACTCTTGAAGTGAGCAAGACCATGAAAATGCAAGTTGGAAGAAACTCTGAACACATCTGAAGGAAAAAACTCTGGACATAACACCCTTAAGTACTGTAACACTCACCCCTAAGGTCTGTAGCTTCATTCTTGAAGTGAGCAAGACCATGAACCTGCCAGAAGGAAGAAACTCTGGACACATCTGAAGGAACAATCTCTGGACATAACACTTTTAAGTGCTGTAACACTCAAAACTAAGGTCTGCAGCTTCATTCTTGAATTGAGCAAGACCATGAACCTGCCAGAAGGAAGAAACTCTGGACAAATCTGTAGGAAAAAACTCTGGACATAACACCTTTATATGCTGTAGCACTCACCGTAAAGGTCTGCAGCTTCATTCTTTCTTGAAGTGAGCAAGACCATGAACCTGCCAGAAGGAAGAATATCTGGACACATCTGAAGTAACAAACTATGGACATAACACTTTTAAGTGCTGTAACACTCACCACTAAATTCTGCAGCTACACTCTTGAAGTGAGCAAGACTATGAACCTGCCAAATTGAAGAAACTTTGGACACATCTGAAGGAACAAACTCTTTACATAACATCTTTAGGTGCTGGAACACTCACCACTAAGGAATGCAGCTTCATTCTTGAAGTGAGCAAGACCATGAACCTGCCAGAAGGGAGAAACTCTGGACACATCTGAAGTAACAAACTCTGGGCATAATACCTTTAAGTGCTGTAACACTCATAACTAAGGTCTG
This sequence comes from Homo sapiens, assembly GCF_000001405.40. Lineage (NCBI taxonomy): Eukaryota > Metazoa > Chordata > Mammalia > Primates > Hominidae > Homo > Homo sapiens. The sequence continues at coordinate 22,438 of NT_187395.1, read as the reverse complement.
TAGCTTCATTCTTGAAGTGAGCAAGACCATGAACCTGCCAGAAGGAAGAAACTCTGGACACATCTGTAGGAAAAAACTCTGGACATAACACCTTTAAGTGCAGTAACACTCACCACTAAGGTCTGCAGTTTCATTCTTGAAGTGACCAAGACCATGAACCTGCCAGATGGAAGAAACTCTGGAAATATCTGAAGGAAAAAACTCTGGACATAACATCTTTCAGTGCTGTAACACTCACCGTAAAGGTCTACAGTTTCATTCTTGAAGTGAGCAAGACCATGAACCTGCCAGGAGGAAGAAACTGGACACATCTGAAGGAACAAACTCTGGACATAACACCTTTAAGTGCTGTAACACTCACCGTAATGGTCTGCAGTTTCATTTTTGAAGTGAGCAAGACCATGAACCTGCCAGAAGGAAGAAACTCTGGACACATCTGAAGGAACAAACTCTGCACATAACACCTTTAAGTGTTGTAACACTCACCGTAAAGGACTGGAGCTTCATTCTTGAAGTGAGCAAGACCATGAACCTGCCAGAAGAAAGGAACACTGGACACATCTGAAGGAACAAACTCTGGACATCACACCTTTAAGTGCTGTAACACTCACCACCTAGGTCTACAGCCTCATTCTTAAAGTGAGCAAGACCATGAACCTGCCAGAAGGAAGAAACTCTGGACATATCTGAAGGAACAAACTTTGGACATAACACTTTATATGCTGTAACAATCACCGTAAAGGTCTGCAGCTTCATTCTTTCTTGAAGTGAGCAAGACCATGAACATGCCAGAAGGAAGAAACTCTAGACACATCTTACGGAAGAAACTCTGGACATCACACCTTTAAGTGCTGTAACACTCACCACCTAGGTCTGCAGCCTCATTCTTAAAGTGAGCAAGACCATGAACCTGCCAGAAAGAAGAAACTCTGGACACATCTGAAGGAATAAACTCTGGACATAACACTTTATATGCTGTAACACTCACCGTAAATGTCTGCAGCTTCATTCTATCCTGAAGTGAGCAAGACCATGAACATGCCAGAAGGAAGAAACTCTAGACACATCTTATGGAACAAACTCTGGATATAACAACTTTAAGTGCTGTAACACTCACCGTAAATGTCTGCAGCTTCATTCTTGAAGTGAGCAATACCATGAACCTGCCAAAAGGAAGAAAGTCTATACACATCTGATGGAACAAACTCTGGACGTAACACCTTTAAGTGCTGTAACACCCACCACCAAGGTGTGCAGCTTCATTATTGAATTGAACAAGACCATGAACCTGCCAGAAGGAAGAAACTCTGGACAAAACTGAAGGAACAAACTCTGGACACAACACTTTTAAGTGCTGTAAACCTCACCGTAAAAGTCTGGAGATTCATTCTTGAAGTGAGCAAGGCCAGGAACCTGAGAGAAGAAGGAAACTGTGGACACATCTGATGGAACAAACTCTGGACATAACACCTTTAAGTGCTGTAACACTCACCACCAAGGTCTGCAGCTTTATTCTTGAATTGAGCAAGACCATGAACCTGCTCGAAGAAGAAACTCTGGATACATCTGAAGGACCAAACTCCGTCCACAACACCTTTATATGCTGTAACACTCACCGTAACGGTCTGCATCTTCATTCTTTCTTGAAGTGAGCAAGACCATGACCCTGCAAGAAGGAAGAATATCTGGACACATATGAAGGAACAAACTCTGGACATAACACCTTTAAGTGCTGTAACACTCACCACTAAATTCTGCAGCTTCACTCTTGAAGTGAGCAAGACCATGAACCTGCCAGAGGGAAGAAACTCTGGACAAATCTGAAGGAAGAAACTCTGGACATAACACCTTTAAGTGCTGTAACACTCACCACTAAATTCTGCAGCTTCACTCTTGAAGTGAGCAAGACCATGAACCTGCCAGAAGGAAGAAACTCTGAACACATCTGAAGGAACAAACTCTGGACATAACACATTTAAGTGCTTTAACACTCACCGTAAAGGCCTGCAGCTTCATTCTTGAAGTGAGCAAGACCATGAACCTGCCAGAAGAAACAAACTCTGGACACATCACAAGGAGCAACCTCTGGAAATAACACCTTTAAGTGCTGTAACACTCACCACTAAGGTCTGCAGCTTCATTCTTGAAGTGAGCAAGACCATGAACCTGCCAAAAGGAATAAAGTCTGGACACATCTGATGGAAAAAACTCGGGACATAACACCTGTAAGTACTGTAACACTCATCGTAAAGGTCTGTAGTTTCATTCTTGAAGTGAGCAAGACCATAAACCTGCCAGAAGGAAGAAACTCTGGACACATCTGAAGGAAAAAACTCTGGACATAACACCTTTAAATGCTGTAACCCTCACCACTAAGGTCTGCAGCTTCATTCTTGAAGTGAGCAAGACCATGAACCTGCCAGAAGGAAGAAACTCTGGACACATCTGGAGGAACAAACTCCGGACATAACACCTTTAAGTGCTGTAACACTCACCGTAAAGGAATGGAGGTTCATTCTTGAAGCTAGCAAGACCATGAACCTGCCAGAAGGAAGAAACTCTGTACACATCTGAAGGAAAAAACTCTGGACATAATACCTTTAAGTGCTGTAACACTCACCTAAAAGGTCTGGAGCTTCATTCTTGAAGTGAGCAAGAACATGAAACTGCCAGAAGAAGGAAACTCTGGACACAACTGAAGGAAAAATCTCTGGACATAACACTTTTAAGTGCTGTAAAACTCACCGTAAAGGTCTGCAGCATCATTCTTGAAGTGAGCAAGACCATGAACCTGCCAGAATGAAGAAACTCTGCAAACATCACAAGGAACAAACTCTGGACATAACACCTTTAAGTGTTGTAACACTCACCACTAAGGTCTGCAGCATCATTCTTGAAGTGAGCAAGACCATGAACCTCCCAGAAGGAAGAAACTCTAGACACATTTGATGGAACAATCTCTGGACATAAAACCTTTAAGTGCTGTAACGCTCACCACTAAGGTCTGCGGCTTCATTCTTGAAGAGAACAAGACCATGAACCTGCCAGAATGAAGAAACTCTGGACACATCTGAAGGAACAAACTCTGGACATGACAACATTAAGTGCTCTAACACTCAACGTAAAGGTCTGCAGCTGCATTCTTGAAGTGAGCAAGACCATGAACCTGCCAGAAGGAAGAAACTCTGGACACATCACAAGGAACAAACTCTGGACATAACACCTTTAAGTGCTGTAACACTCACCACTAGGGTCTGCAGCTTCATTCTTGAAGTGAGCAAGACCATGAACCTGCCAGAAGGAAGAAACTCTGTACACATCAGATGGAACAAACTCTGGACATAACACATTTAAGTGCTGTAACACTCACCACCAAAGTCTGCAGCTTCATTCTTGAAGTGAGCAAGACCATGAACCTGCTCGAAGGAAGAATTTCTGGAGACATCTGAAGGACAAAACTCTGGACATAACACCTTTATATGCTGTAACACTCACCGTAAAGGTCTGCAGCTTCATTCTTTCTTAAAGTGAGCCAGACCATGAACATACCAGAAGAAAGAATATCTCGACACATCTGAAGGAACAAACTCTGGACATAACACCTTTAAGTGCTGTAACAATCACCACTAAATTTTGCAGCTTCACTCTTGAAGTGAGCAAGACCATGAAAATGCAAGTTGGAAGAAACTCTGGACACATCTGAAGGAAAAAAACTCTGCACATAACACCTTTAAGTACTGTAACACTCACCCCTAAGGTCTGCAGCTTCATTCTTGAAGTGAGCAAGACCATGAACCTGCCAGAAGGAAGAAACTCTAGACACATCTGAAGGAACAAACTCTGGACATAACACTTTCAAGGGCTGTAACACTCAAAACTAAGGTCTGCAGCTTCATTCTTGAATTGAGCAAGACCATGAACCTGCCAGAAGGAAGAAACTCTGGACACATCTGAAGGAAAAAACTCTAGACCTAACACCTTTATATGCTGTAGCACTCACCGTAAAGGTCTGCAGCTTCATTCTTTCTTGAAGTGAGCAAGACCATGAACCTGCCAGAAGGAAGAATATCTGGACACATCTGTAGTAACAAACGCTGGACATAACACTTTTAAGTGCTGTAACACTCACCACTAAATTCTGCATCTTCACTCTTGAAGTGAGTAAGACCATGAACCTGCCAGATTGAAGAAACTTTGGACACATCTGAAGGAACAAACTCTTTACATAACACCTTTAAGTGCTGTAACACTCACCACTAAGGACTGCAGCTTCATTCTTGAAGTGAGCAAGACCATGAACCCGCCAGAAGGAAGAAACTCTGGACAAATCTGATGGAAGAAACTCTGGACATAACACCTTTAAGTGCCGTAACACTCACCGTAAAGGACTTGAGCTTCATTACTGAAGTCCGCAAGACCATGAACCTGCCAGAAGAAAGAAATTCTGGACACATCTGAATGAACAAACTCTGGACATAACATCTTTAAGTGCTATAACACTCACCACCTAGGTCTGCAGCTTCATTCTTGAAGTGAGCAAGACCATGAACCTGCCAGAAGGAAGAAACTCTGGACACATCTGAAGGAACAAACTCTGGACATAACACTTTATATGCTGTAACACTCACCGTAAATTTCTGCAGCTTCATTCTTTCTTGAAGTGAGCAAGACCGTGAACATGCCAGAAGGAAGAAACTCTAGACACATCTGAAGGAACAAACTCTGGATATAACAAATTTAAGTGCTGTAACACTCACAGTAAATGTCTGCAGCTTCATTCTTGAAGTGAGCAAGACCATGAACCTGCCAGAAGGAAGAAACTCTGGACACAACTGAAGGAAAAAACTCTGGACATAACACCTTTAAGAGCTGTAACCCTCACAAATAAGGTCTGCTGCTTCATTCTTGAAGTGATCAAGACCATGAACCTGCCAGATGGAAGAAACTCTGGAAATATCTGAAGGAACAAACTCTGGACATAACATCTTTCAGTGCTGTAACACTCACGGTAAAGGTCGACAGTTTCATTCTTGAAGTGAGCAAGACCATGAACCTGCCAGAAGGAAGAAACTGGACAAATCTGAAGGAAAAAACTCTGGACATAACACATTTAAGTGCTGTAACACTCACGGTAATGGTCTGCAGTTTCATTCTTGAAGTGAGCAAGACCATGAACCTGACAGAAGGAAGAAACTCTGGCCACATCTGAAGGAACAAACTCTGGACATAACACCTTTAAGTGCTGTAACACTCACCGTAAAGGACTGGACCTTCATTCTTGAAGTGAGCAAGACCATGAACCTGCCAGAAGAAACTCTGGACACATCTGAAGGAACAAACTCTGGACATAACACTTTATATGCTGTAACACTCACCGTAAATGTCTGCAGCTTCATTCTATCCTGAAGTGAGCAAGACCATGAACATGCCAGAAGGAAGAAACTCTAGACACATCTTATGGAACAAACTCTGGATATAACAACTTTAAGTGCTGTAACACTCACCGTAAATGTCTGCAGCTTCATTCTTGAAGTAAGCAATACCATGAATCTGCCAAAAGGAAGAAAGTCTATACACATCTGATGGAACAAACTCTGGACGTAACACCTTTAAGTGCTGTAACACCCACCACCAAGGTGTGCAGCTTCATTATTGAATTGAACAAGACCATGAACCTGCCAGAAGGAAGAAACTCTGGACAAAACTGAAGGAACAAACTCTGGACATAACACTTTTAAGTGCTGTAAACCTCACCATGAAAGTCTGGAGATTCATTCTTGAAGTGAGCAAGGCCAGGAACCTGAGAGAAGAAGGAAACTGTGGACACATCTGATGGAACAAACTCTGGACATAACACCTTTAAGTGCTGTAACACTCACCACCAAGGTCTACAGCTTTATTCTTGAATTGAGCAAGACCATGAACCTGCCCGAAGAAGAAACTCTGGATACATCTGAAAGACCAAACTCCGTCCATAACACCTTTATATGCTGTAACACTCACCGTAACGGTCTGCATCTTCATTCTTTCTTGAAGTGAGCAAGACCATGACCCTGCAAGAAGGAAGAATATCTGGACACATCTGAAGGAACAAACTCTGGACATAACACCTTTAAGTGCTGTAACACTCACCACTAAATTCTGCAGCTTCACTCTTGAAGTGAGCAAGACCATGAACCTGCCAGAAGGAAGAAACTCTGGACAAATCTGAAGGAAGAAACTCTGGACATAACACCTTTAAGTGCTGTACCACTCACCACTAAATTCTGCAGCTTCACTCTTGAAGTGAGCAAGACCATGAACCTGCCAGATGGAAGAAACTCCGGACAAATCTGAAAGAAAAAACTCTGGACATAACACCTTTAAGTGCTATAACACCCACCGTAAAGGCCTGCAGCTTCACTCTTGAAGTGAGCAAGACCATGAACCTGCCAGAAGAAACAAACTCTGCACACATCACAAGGAGCAACCTCTGGACATAACACCTTTAAGTGCTGTAACACTCACCACTAAGGTCTGCAGCTTCATTCTTGAAGTGAGCAAGACCATGAACCTGCCAAATGGAATAAACTCTGGACACATCTGATGGAAAAAACTCGGGACATAACACCTGTAAGTGCTGTAACACTCATCGTAAAGGTCTGTAGTTTCATTCTTGAAGTGAGCAAGACCATGAACCTGCCAGAAGGAAGAAACTCTGGACACAACTGAAGGAACAAACTCTGGACATAACACTTTTAAGTGCTGTAAAACTCACCGTAAAGGTCTGTAGCTTCATTCTGGAAGTAAGCAAGACCATGTAACTGCCAGAAGAAAGAAACTCTGTTCACATCTGAAGCAACAAATTCTGGATATAACACCTTTAAGTGCTGTAACACTCACCGTAAATGTCTGCAGCATCATTCTTCAAGTGAGCAACACCATGAACCTGCCAGAAGGAAGAAACTCTGCGCACATCACATGGAACAAACTCTTTACATAACACCTTTAAGTGCTGTAACACTCACCACTAAGGTCTGCAGCTTCATTCTTGAAGTGAGCAAGACCATGAACCTGCCAAAAGGAAGAAATTCTGGACACATCTGATGGAACAAACTCGAGACATAAAAGGTGTAAGTGCTGTAACACACACCAACAAGGTCTGCAGCTTCATTCTTGAAGTGAGCAAGACCATGAACTTGCCAGAAGGAAGAAACTCTGGACACATCTGAAGGAACAAACTCTGGACATAACACCTTTAAGTGCTGTAACACTCACCGTAAAGGAATGGAGGTTCATTCTTGAATCTAGCAAGACCATGAAACCTGCCAGAAGGAAGAAAGCCTGTACACATCTGAAAGGTAAAAACTCTGGACATAATAGCTTTAAGTGCTGTAACACTCACCGCAAAGGGTCTGGAGCTTCATTCATGAAGTGAGCAACAACATGAAACCTACCAGAAGAAAGAAACTCTGGAACACAACTGAGGGAAAAAACTCTGGAACATAACACCTTTAAGTGCTGTAACACTCCACCGTAAAGGTCTGGAGCTTTCTTTTCTTGAAGTGAGCAAGAAACATGAAAACTCCAGAAGAAAGAAAACTCTGGACACAACTGAAGGAAAAAACTCTGGACATAACACCTTTAAGTGCTGTAAAACTCACCGTAAAGATCTGGAGCTTCATTCTTGAAGTAAGCAAGAACCCCCACCTGCCAGAAGAAAGAAACTCTGGACACAACTAAAGGAAAAAACTCTGGACATAACACCTTTAAGTGCTGTAAAATTCACCGTAAAGGTCTGCAGCATAATTCTTGAAGTGAGCAAGACCATGAACCTGCCTGAATGAAGAAACTCTGCAAACATCACAAGGAACAAACTCTGGACATAACACCTTTAAGTCTTGTAACACTCACCACTAAGGTCTGCAGCATCATTCTTGAAGTGAGCAAGACCATGAACCTCCCAGAAGGAAGAAACTCTAGACACATTTGATGGAACAAACTCTGGACATAAAACCTTTAAGTGCTGTAACGCTCACCACTAAGGTCTGCGGCTTCATTCTTGAAGAGAACAAGACCATGAACCTGCCAGAATGAAGAAACTCTGGACACATCTGAAGGAATAAACTCTGGACATGACAACATTAAGTGCTCTAACACTCAACGTAAAGGTCTGCAGCTTCATTCTTGAAGTGAGCAAGACCATGAACCTGCCAGAAGGAAGAAACTCTGGACACATCACAAGGAAAAAACTCTGGACATAACACCTTTAAGTGCTGTAACACTCACCACTAAGGTCTGCAGCTTCATTCTTGAAGTGAGCAAGACCATGAACCTGCCAGAAGGAAGAAACTCTGTACACATCAGATGGAACAAACTCTGGACATAACACATTTAAGTGCTGTAACACTCACCACCAAGGTCTGCAGCTTCATTCTTGAAGTGAGCAAGACCATGAACCTGCCAGAAGGAAGAAATTCTGGAGACATCTGAAGGACAAAACTCTGGACATAACACCTTTATATGCTGTAACACTCACCGTAAAGGTCTGCAGCTTCATTCTTTCTTGAAGTGAGCAAGACCATGAACCTGCCAGAAGGAAGAAACTCTGGACACATCTGAAGGAACAAACTCTAGACATAACACCTTTAAGTGCTGTAACACTCAACACTGAATTCTGCAGGTTCACTCTTGAAGTGAGCAAGACCATGAACCTGCCAGATTGAAGAAACTTTGGACACATCTGAAGGAACAAACTCTTTACATAACACACTTAAGTGCTGTAACACTCACCACTGAGGTCTGCAGCTTCATTCTTGAAGTGAGCAAGACCATGAAGCTGCCAAAAGGAAGAAACTCTGGACACATCTGATGGAACAAACTCGGGACATAAAACCTGTAAGTGCTGTAAAACTCACCACCAAGGTCTGCAGCTTCATTCTTGAAGTGAGCAAGACCATGAACTTGCCAGAAGGACGAAACTCTGGACACATCCAGAGGAACAAACTCTGGACATAACACCTTTAAGTGTTGTAACACTCACCGTAAAGGTCTGCAGCTTCATTCTTGAAGTGAGCAAGACCATGAACCTGCCAAAAGGAAGAAACTGTGGACACAACTGAAAGAACAATCTCTGGACATAACACCTTTAAGTGCTGTAACACTCACCGTAAGGGTCTTCAGTTTCATTCTTGAAGTGGACAAGACCATGAACCTGCAAGAAGGAAGAAACTCTGGACACATCTGAAGGAACAAACTCTGGACATAACACCTTTAAGTGTTGTAACACTCACCGTAAAGGTTTGCAGCTTCATTCTTCAAGTGAGCAAGACCATGAATCTGCCAGAAGGAAGAAACTCTGGGCACATCTGAAGGAACAATCTCTGGACATAACACCTTTAGGTGCTGCAACACTCACCGTAAACGTCTGCAGCTTCATTCCTGAAGAGAGCAAGACCATGGACTTGCCAGAAAGAAGAAACTCTGGACACATCTGAAGGAACAAACTCTGGAAATAACACCTCTAAGTGCTGTAACACTCACCGTAAATGTCTGCAGCTTCATTCTTGAATTAAGCAGGACCATGAGCCTGCCAGAAGGAAGAAACTCTGGATACATCTGAAGGAACAAACTCTGGATATAACTCCTTTACGTGCTGTAACACTCACAGTAAAGGTCCGCAGATTCATTCTTGAAGTGAGCAAGACCATGAACCTGCCAGAAGGAAGAAACTCTGGACACATCTGAAGGAACAAACTCTGGACATAACACCTTTAAGGGCTGTAACACTCACCACTAATGTCTGCAGCTTCATTCTTGAAGTGAGCAAGGCCATGAACCTGCCAGAAGGAAGAAACTCCTGACACATTTGAAGTAACAATCTCTGGACATAACACCTTTAAGTGCTGTAACACTCACCACTAAGGTCTGCAGCTTCACTCTTGAAGTGAGCAAGACCATGAACCTGCCAGAAGGAAGAAACTCTGGACACATCTGAAGGAACAAACTCTGGACATAACAACTTTAAGTGCTGAAACACTCTCAACTAAGGTCTGCAGCTTCATCCTTGAAGTGAGCAAGACCTTGAACCTGCCAGAAGGAAGAAACTACGGACATATCTGAATGAACAATCACTGGACATAACACTTTTAAGTGCTGTAACACTCACCACTGAGGTCTGCAGCTACATTCTTGAAGTGAGCAAGACCATGAACCTGCCAGAAGGAAGAAACTACGGACACATCTGAATGAACAATCTCTGGACATAACACCTTTAAGTGCTGCAACACTCACCACTAAGGTCTGCAGCTTCATTCTTTAAGTGAGCAAGACCATGAACCTGCCAGAAGGAAGAAACTCTGCACACATATGAAGGAACAAACTGTGGACATAACACCTTTATGTGCTGTAACACCCTCCGTAAAGGTCTGCAGCTTCATTCTTGAAGTGAGCAAGACCATGAACCTGCCAAACGGAAGAAACTCTGGACACATCTGAAGGAACAAACACTGGACATAACACCTTTCAGTGCTGTAACACTCACCGTAAAGGTCTGCAGCTTCATTCTTGAAGTGAGCAAGACCATGAACCTGCAGGAAGCAAGAAACTCTGGACATATCTGAAATAACAATCTCTGGACATAACACCTTTAAGTGCTGTAGCACTCACCACTGAGGTCTGCAGCTTCACTCCTGATGTAAACAAGACCATGAACCTGCCAGAAGGAAGAAACTCTGTAGACATATGAAGGAACAAATTCTGGAACTAACACCTTTAAGTGTTGTAACACTCACCGTAAAGGTCTGCAGCTTCATTCTTGAAGTGAGCAAGACCATGAACCTGCCAGAAGGAAGAAACTCTGGACACATCTGAAGAAACAAACTCTGGACCTAACACCGTTAAGTGCTGTAACACTCACCGTAAACGTCTGCAGCTTCATTCTTGAAGTGAGCACGACCATGAACCTGCCAGAAGGAAGAAACTCTGCACACATCTGAAGGAACAAACTCTACACATAACACCTTTAAGTGCTGTAACACTCACCATAAAGGTATGCAGCTTCATTCTTGAAGTGAGCAAGACCATGAATCTGCCAGAATGAAGAAACTCTGGACACATATTAAGTAACGAACTCTGTACATAACACCTTTAAGTGCTGTAACACTCACCACTAAGGTCTGCAGCTTCATTCTTGAGGTGAGCAAGACCATGAAGCTGCCAGAAGAAAGAAACTCCGGTCACATCTGCATGAACAAACTCAGGACATAACACTTTAAGTGCTGTAACACTCACCAGTAAGGTCTGCAGCTTCATTCTTCAAGTGAGCAGGACCATGAGCCTGCCAGAAGGAATTAACTCTGGACACATCAGAAGGAACAAACTATGGACATAACACCTTTAAGTGCTGTAACACTCAACGTACAGGTCTGCAGCTTTATTCTTGAAGTCAGCAAGACCATGAACCTGCCAGAAGGAAGAAACTCTGGACACATCTAAATGAACAAACTCTGGACATAACACCTTTAAGTGCTGTAGCACTCACCACTACGGTCTGCAGCTTCATTCTTGAAGTGAGCAAGACGATGAATCTGCCAGACGGAAGAAACTCCGGACACATCTGAATGAACAACCTCTGGACATAACACCTTTCAGCGCTGTAACACTCACAACTAACTTCTGCAGCTTCATTCTTGAAGTGAGCAAGATCATGAACCTGCCGGAAGGAAGAAACTCTGTACACATCTGAAGGAAAAAACTCTGGACATAACAACTTTAAGTGTTGTAACACTCACCGTAAAGGTTTGCAGCTTCATTCTTGAAGTGAGCAAGACCATGTATCTGCCAGAAGCAAGAAACTCTGGGCACATCTGAAGGAACAAACTCTGGACATAACACCTTTAAGTGCTGTAACACTCACCGTAAATGTATGCAGCTTCATTCTTGAAGTGAGCAAGACCATGAACCTGCCAGAAGGAAGAAACTCTGGACACATCTGAAGGAACAAACTCTGGACATAACACCTTTAAGTGTTGTAACACTCACCACTAAGGTCTGCAGCTTCATTCTTGAAGTAAGCAAGACCATGAACCTGCCAGAAGGAAGAAACTCCTGACACATCTGAAGTAACAATCTCTGGACATAACACTTTTAAGTGCTGTAACACTCACCACTAAGGTCTGCAGCTTCATTCTTGAAGTGAGCAAGACCATGAACCTTCCAGAAGGAAGAAACTCTGGACACATCTGAAGGAACAAACTCTAGACATAACACCTTTAAGTGCTGTAACACTCACGGTAAAGGTCTGCAGCTTCATTCTTGAAGTGAGCAAGACCATGAACCTGCCAGAAGGAAGAAACTCTGGACACATCTGAAGGAACAAACTCTGGAGATAACACCTTTAAGTGCTGAAACACTCTCCACTAAGGTCTGCAGCTTCATTCTTTAAGTGAGCAAGGCCTTGTACCTGCCAGAAGGAAGAAACTACGGACACATCTGAATGAACAATCACTGGACATAACACTTTTAAGTGCTGTAACACTCACCACTAAGGTCTGAACCTTCATTCTTGAAGTGAGCAAGACCATGAACCTGCCAGAAGGAAGAAACTACGGACACATCTGAATGAACAATCTCTGAACATAACACCTTTAAGTGCTGCAACACTAACCACTAACGTCTGCAGCTTCATTCTTTAAGTGAGCAACACCATGAACCTGCCAGAAGGAAGAAACTCTGGACACATATGAAGGAACAAACTGTGGACATAACACATTTATATGCTGTAACACTCACCGTTAAGTTCTGCAGCTTCATTCTTGAAGTGAGCAAGACAATGAACCTGCCAGACCGAATAAACTCTGGACACATCTGAAGGAACAAACTCTGGACATAACACCTTTCAGGGCTGTAACACTCACCGTAAAGGTCTGCAGCTTCATTCTTGAAGTGAGAAAGACAATGAACCTGCCAGAAGGAAGAAACTCTGTACATATCTGAATTAACAATCTCTGGACATAACACCTTTACGTGCTGTAACACTCACCACTGAGGTCTGCAGCTTCATTCCTGAGGTGAGCAAGACCATGAACCTGCCAGAAGGAAGAAACTCTGAACACATCTGAAGGAACAAATTCTGGAACTAACACCTTTACGTGTTGTAACACTCACCGTAAAGGTCTGCAGCTTCATTCTTGAAGTGAGCAAGACCATGAACCTGCCAGAAGGAAGAAACTCTGGACACATCTGAAGAAACAAACTCTGGACCTAACACCTTTAAGTGTTGTAACACTCACCGTAAAGGTCTGCAGTTTCATTCTTGAAGTGAGCACGACCATGAACCTGCCAGAAGGAAGAAACTCTGGACACATCTGAAGGAACAAACTCTAGACATAACACCTTTAAGTGCTGTAACACTCACCGTAAAGGTATGCAGCTTCATTATTGAAGTGAGCAAGACCATGAATCTGCCAGAATGAAGAAACTCTGGACACATATGAAGTAACAAACTCTGTACATAACACCTTTAAGTGCTGTAACACTCACCACTAAGGTCTGCAGCTTCATTCTTGAGGTGAGCAAGACCATGAACCTGCCAGAAGAAAGAAACTCCGGTCACATCTGCATGAACAAACTCAGGACATAACAACTTTAAGTGCTGTAACACTCACCAGTGAGGTCTGCAGCTTCATTCTTCAAGTGAGCAGGACCATGAGCCTGCCAGAAGGAATTAACTCTGGACACATCTGAAGGAACAAACTATGGACATAACACCTTTAAGTGCTGTAACACTCACCGTACAGGTCTGCAGCTTTATTCTTGAAGTCAGCAAGACCATGAACCTGCCAGAAGGAGGAAACTCTGGACACATCTGAAGGAACAAACTCTGGACATAACACCTATAAGTGCTGTAACACTCACCACTAATTTCTGCAGCTTCATTCTTGAAGAGAACAAGACCATGAACCTGCCAGAAGGAAGAAACTCCGGACACATCTGAATGAACAAACTCTGGACATAACACCTTTTCAGTGCTGTGAGACTCACCACTAAGGTCTGCGGCTTCATTCTTGAAGTGAGCAAGACCATGAACCTGCCAGAAGGAAGAATATCTGGACACATCTGAAGGAACAAACTCTAGACCTAACACCTTTAAGTGCTGTAACACTCAACGTAAAGGTCTGCAGCTTCATTCTTGAAGTGAGCAAGACCATGAACCTGCCAGAAGGAAGAAACTCTGGACACATCTAAATGAACAAACTCTGGACATAACACCTTTAAGTGCTGTAACACTCACCACTAAGGTCTGCAGCTTCATTTTTGAAGTCAGCAAGACCATGAATCTGCCAGACGGAAGAAACTCCGGACACATCTGAATGAAGAACCTCTGAACATAACACCTTTCAGCGCTGTAACACTCACAACTAACTTCTGCAGCTTCATTCTTGAAGTGAGCAAGATCATGAACCTGCCAGAAGGAAGAAACTCTGTACACATCTGAAGGAAAAAACTCTGGACATAACACCTTTAAGTGTTGAAACACTCACCGTAAAGGTTTGCAGCTTCATTCTTGAAGTGAGCAAGACCATGAATCTGCCAGAAGCAAGAAACTCTGGGCACATCTGAAGGAACAAACTCTGGACATAACACCTTTAGGTGCTGTAACGCTCACCGTAAATGTGTGCAGGTTCATTCTTGAAGTGAGCAAGACCATGAACCTGCCAGAAGGAAGAAACTCTGGACACATCTGAAGGAACAAACTCTGGACATAACACCTTTAAGTGTTGTAACACTCACCACTAAGGTCTGCAGCTTCATTCTTGAAATAAGCAAGACCATGAACCTGCCAGAAGGAGGAAACTCTGGACACATCTGAAGGAACAAACCCTGGACATAACACCTTTAAGTGCTGTAACACTCACCGTAAATGTCTGCAGCATCATTCTTGAATTAAGCAGGACCATGAGCCTGCCAGAAGGAAGAAACTCTGAACACATCTGAAGGAACAAACTCTGGACATAACACCTTTAAGTGCTGTAACACTCACCACTAAGGTCTGCAGCTTCATTCTTGAATTGAGCAAGACCATGAACCTGCCAGAAGGAAGAAACTCCTGACACCTCTGAAGTAACGATCTCTGGACATAACACCTTTAAGTGCTGTAACACTCACCACTAAGGTCTGCAGCTTCATTCTTGAAGTGAGCAAGACCATGAACCTTCCAGAAGGAAGAAACTCTGGACACATCTGAAGGAACAAACTCTAGACATAACACCTTTAAGTGCTGTAACACTCACCGTAAAGGTCAGCAGCTTCATTCTTGAAGTGAACAAGACCATGAACCTGCCAGAAGGAAGAAACTCTGGACACATCTGAAGGAACAAACTCTGGACATAACACCTTTCAGTGCTGAAACACTCTCCACTAAGGTCTGCAGCTTCATTCTTTAAGTGAGCAAGGCCTTGAACCTGCCAGAAGGAAGAAACTACGGACACATCTGAATGAACAATCACTGGACATAACACTTTTAAGTGCTGTAACACTCACCACTAATGTCTGAACCTTCATTCTTGAAGTGAGCAAGACCATGAACCTGCCAGAAGGAAGAAACTACGGACACATCTGAATGAACAATCTCTGGACATAACACCTTTAAGTGCTGCAACACTAACCACTAACGTCTGCAGCTTCATTCTTTAAGTGAGCAAGACCATGAACCTGCCAGAAGGAAGAAACTCTGGACACATATGAAGGAACAAGCTGTGGACATAACACCTTTATATGCTGTAACACTCACCGTAAAGGTCTGCAGCTTCATTCTTGAAGTGAGCAAGACAATGAACCTGCCAGACCGAAGAAACTCTGGACACATCTGAAGGAACAAACTCTGGACCTAACACCTTTCAGGGCTGTAACAGTCACCGTAAAGGTCTGCAGCTTCATTCTTGAAGTGAGCAAGACAATGAACCTGCCAGAAGGAAGAAACTCTGTACATATCTGAATTAACAATCTCTGGACATAACACCTTTACGTGCTGTAACACTCACCACTGAGGTCTGCAGCTTCATTCCTGAGGTGAGCAAGACCATGCACCTGCCAGAAGGAAGAAACTCTGAACACATCTGAAGGAACAAATTCTGGAACTAACATCTTTACGTGTTGTAACACTCACTGTAAAGGTCTGCAGCTTCATTCTTGAAGTGAGCAAGACCATGAACCTGCCAAAAGGAAGAAACTCTAGACACATCTGAAGAAACAAACTCTGGACCTAACACCTTTAAGTGTTGTAACAGTCACCGTAAAGGTCTGCAGTTTCATTCTTGAAGTGAGCACGACCATGAACCTGCCAGAAAGAAGAAACTCTGGACACATCTGAAGGAACAAACTCTAGACATAACACCTTTAAGTGCTGTAACACTCACCGTAAAGGTATGCAGCTTCATTATTGAAGTGAGCAAGACCATGAATCTGCCAGAATGAAGAAACTCTGGACACATATGAAGTAACAAACTCTCTACATAACACCTTTAAGTGCTGTAACACTCACCACTAAGGTCTGCAGCTTCATTCTTGAGGTGAGCAAGACCATGAACCTGCCAGAAGAAAGAAACTCCGGTCACATCTGCATGAACAAACTCAGGACATAACAACTTTAAGTGCGGTAACACTCACCAGTGAGGTCTGCAGCTTCATTCTTCAAGTGAGCAGGACCATGAGCCTGCCAGAAGGAATTAACTCTGGACACATCTGAAGGAACAAACTATGGACATAACACCTTTAAGTGCTGTAACACTCACCGTACAGGTCTGCAGCTTTATTCTTGAAGTCAGCAAGACCATGAACCTGCCAGAAGGAGGAAACTCTGGACACATCTGAAGGAACAAACTCTGGACATAACACCTATAAGTGCTGTAACACTCACCACTAATTTCTGCAGCTTCATTCTTGAAGAGAACAAGACCATAAACCTGCCAGAAGGAAGAAACTCCGGACACATCTGAATGAACAAACTCTGGACATAACACCTTTTCAGTGCTGTGAGACTCACCACTAAGGTCTGCGGCTTCATTCTTGAAGTGAGCAAGACCATGAACCTGCCAGAAGGAAGAATATCTGGACACATCTGAAGGAACAAACACTAGACCTAACACCTTTAAGTGCTGTAACACTCACCGTAAAGGTCTGCAGCTTCATTCTTGAAGTGAGCAAGACCATGAACCTGCCAGAAGGAAGAAACTCTGGACACATCTAAATGAACAAACTCTGGACATAACACCTTTAAGTGCTGTAACACTCACCACTAAGGTCTGCAGCTTCATTCTTGAAGTGAGCAAGACCATGAATCTGCCAGACGGAAGAAACTCCGGACACATCTGAATGAAGAACCTCTGAACATAACACCTTTCAGCGCTGTAACACTCACAACTAACTTCTGCAGCTTCATTCTTGAAGTGAGCAAGATCATGAACCTGCCAGAAGGAAGAAACTCTGTACACATCTGAAGGAAAAAACTCTGGACATAACACCTTTAAGTGTTGAAACACTCACCGTAAAGGTTTGCAGCTTCATTCTTGAAGTGAGCAAGACCATGAATCTGCCAGAAGCAAGAAACTCTGGGCACATCTGAAGGAACAAACTCTGGACATAACACCTTTAGGTGCTGTAACACTCACCGTAAATGTCTGCAGCTTCATTCTTGAAGTGAGCAAGACCATGAACCTGACAGAAGGAAGAAACTCTGGACACATCTGAAGGAACAAACTATGGACATAACACCTTTAAGTGCTGTAACACTCACCGTACAGGTCTGCAGCTTTATTCTTGAAGTCAGCAAGACCATGAACCTGCCAGAAGGAGGAAACTCTGGACACATCTGAAGGAACAAACTCTGGACATAACACCTATAAGTGCTGTAACACTCACCACTAATTTCTGCAGCTTCATTCTTGAAGAGAACAAGACCATGAACCTGCCACAAGGAAGAAACTCCGGACACATCTGAATGAACAAACTCTGGACATAACACCTTTAAGTGCTGTGAGACTCACCACTAAGGTCTGCAGCTTCATTCTTGAAGTGAGTAAGACCATGAACCTGCCAGAAGGAAGAATATCTGGACACATCTGAAGGAACAAACTCTAGACCTAACACCTTTAAGTGCTGTAACACTCACCGTAAAGGTCTGCAGCTTCATTCTTGAAGTGAGCAAGACCATGAACCTGCCAGAAGGAAGAAACTCTGGACACATCTAAATGAACAAACTCTGGACATAACACCTTTAAGTGCTGTAACACTCACCACTAAGGTCTGCAGCTTCGTTCTTGAAGTGAGCAAGACCATGAACCTGCCAGACGGAAGAAACTCCGGACACATCTGAATGAAGAACCTCTGGACATAACACCTTTAAGCGCTGTAACACTCACAACTAACTTCTGCAGCTTCATTCTTGAAGTGAGCAAGATGATGAACCTGCCAGAAGGAAGAAACTCTGAACACATCTGAAGGAACAAACTCTGGACATAACACCTTTAAGTGTTGTAACACTCACCGTAAAGGTTTACAGTTTCATTCTTGAAGTGAGCAAGACCATGAATCTACCAGAAGCAAGAATCTCTGGGCACATCTGAAGGAACAAACTCTGGACCTAACACCTTTAAGTGCTGTAACACTCACCGTAAAGGTATGCAGCTTCATTATTGAAGTGAGCAAGACCATGAATCTGCCAGAATGAAGAAACTCTGGACACATATGAAGTAACAAACTCTCTACATAACACCTTTAAGTGCTGTAACACTCACCACTAAGGTCTGCAGCTTCATTCTTGAGGTGAGCAAGACCATGAACCTGCCAGAAGAAAGAAACTCCGGTCACATCTGCATGAACAAACTCAGGACATAACAACTTTAAGTGCTGTAACACTCACCAGTGAGGTCTGCAGCTTCATTCTTCAAGTGAGCAGGACCATGAGCCTGCCAGAAGGAATTGACTCTGGACACATCTGAAGGAACAAACTATGGACATAACACCTTTAAGTGCTGTAACACTCACCGTACAGGTCTGCAGCTTTATTCTTGAAGTCAGCAAGACCATGAACCTGCCAGAAGGAGGAAACTCTGGACACATCTGAAGGAATAAACTCTGGACATAACACCTATAAGTGCTGTAACACTCACCACTAATTTCTGCAGCTTCATTCTTGAAGAGAACAAGACCATGAACCTGCCACAAGGAAGAAACTCCGGACACATCTGAATGAACAAACTCTGGACATAACACCTTTAAGTGCTGTGGGACTCACCACTAAGGTCTGCAGCTTCATTCTTGAAGTGAGCAAGACCATGAACCTGCCAGGAGGAAGAAACTCTTGACACATCTAAATGAACAAACTCTGGACATAACACCTTTAAGTGCTGTAACACTCACTACTAAGGTCTGCAGCTTCATTCTTGAAGTGAGCAAGACCATGAACCTGCCAGACCGAAGAAACTCCGGACACATCTGAATGAAGAACCTCTGGACATAACACCTTTAAGCGCTGTAACACTCACAACTAACTTCTGCAGCTTCATTCTTGAAGTGAGCAAGATCATGAACCTGCCAGAAGGAAGAAACTCTGAACACATCTGAAGGAACAAACTCTGGACATAACACCTTTAAGTGTTGTAACACTCACCGTAAAGGTTTGCAGTTTCATTCTTGAAGTGAGCAAGACCATGAATCTACCAGAAGCAAGAATCTCTGGGCACATCTGAAGGAACAAACTCTGGACATAACAACTTTAGGTGCTGTAACACTCACCGTAAATGTCTGCAGCTTCATTCTTGAAGTGAGAAGACCATGAACCTGCCAGAAGGAAGAAAGTCTGGACACATCTGAAGGAACAAACTCTGGACATAACACCTTTAAATGCTGTAACACTCACCACTAAGGTCTGCAGCTTCATTCTTGAAGTGAGAAAGACCATGAACCTGCCAGAAGGAAGAAAGTCCGGACACATCTGAAGTAACAATCTCTGGACATAACACCTTTAAGTGCTGTAACACTCACCACTAAGGTCTGCAGCTTCATTCTTGAAGTGAGCAAGTCCATTAACCTTCCAGAAGGAAGAAACTCTGGGCACATCTGAAGGAACAAGCTCTGGACATAACACCTTTAGGTGCTGTAACACTCACCGTAAAGGTCTGCAGCTTCATTCTTGAAGTGAGCAAGACCATGAACCTGCCAGAAGGAAGAAACTCTGAACACATCTGAAGGAAAAATCTCTGGACATAACACCTTTAAGTTTTGTAACACTCACCGTAAAGGTTTGCAGCTTCATTCTTGAAGTGAGCAAGTCCATGAACCTGCCAGAAGGAAGAAACTCTGGGCACATCTGAAGGAAGAAACTCTGGACATAACACCTTTAGGTGCTGTAACACTCACCGTAAAGGTCTTCAGCTTCTTTCTTGAAGTGAGCAAGACCATGAACCTGCCATAAGGAAGAAACTCTGGACACATCTGAAGGAACAAACTCTGGACATAACACCTTTAAGTGCTGTAACAGTCACCACTAATGTCTGCAGCTTCATTCTTGAAGTAAGCAAGACCATGAACCTGCAAGAAGGAGGAAACTCTGGACACATCTGAAGGAAGAAACTCTGGACATAACACCTTTAAGTGCTGTAACACTCACCACTAAGGTCTGCAGCTTCATTCTTGAATTAAGCAGGACCTTGAGCCAGCCAGAAGGAAGAAACTCTGGACACATCTGAAGGAAGAAACTCTGGACATAACACCTTTAAGTGCTGTAACACTCAACACTTAGCTTTGCAGCTTCATTCTTGAAGTGAGCAAGACCATGAACCTGCCAGAAGGAAGAAACTACGGACACATCTGAATGAACAATCTCTGAACATAACACCATTAAGTGCTGTAACACTCACCACTAAGGTCTGCAGCTTCATTCTTGAAGTGAGCAAGACCATGAACCTGCCAGAAGGAAGAAACTCTGGACACATGTGAATGAACAAACTCTGGACGTAACACCTTTAAGTGCTGTAACGCTCACCACTAAGTTCTACAGTTTTATTCTTGAAGTGAGCAAGACCATGATCCTGCCAGAAGGAAGAAACTCTGAACACATCTGAAGGAACAAACTCTGGACATAACACCTTTAAGTGTTGTAACACTCACAGTAAAGGTCTGCAGCTTCATTCTTGAAGTAAGCAAGGCCATGAACCTGCCAGATGGAAGAAACTCTGGACACATCTGAAGGAACAATCTGTGTTCATAACACCTTTAAGTGCTGTAACACTCACCGTAAATGTCTGCAGCTTCGTTCTTGAATTAAGCAGGACCATGAACCTGCCTGAAGGAAGAAATTCTGGACACATCTTAAGGAACAAACTCTGGACATAACAGCTTTAAATGCTGTAACACTCACCGTAAATGTCTGCAGCTTCATTCTTGAAGTAAGCAAGACCATGAGCTCATGTGAAGTAGCAAACTCCAGACACACCACCTTTAAGAGTTGTAACACACACCGAAACGGTCTACAGCTTCATTTTTGCAGTGAGCGAGACCACAAACCCACTGGAAGGAATAAGTTCCAAACACACAAACACTGCAATTTCTCACTCATAGGTGGGAGTTGTAAAATGAGAATACATGGACATAGGGAGGGGAACATCAAACACTGGAGACTGTTGGAGGGTGGGGACCTAACAGGGAATAGCATTAGGAGAAATACCTAATGTAGATGAAAAACTGACAGGTGCAGCAAACAAGCATATATCTCTGTAACAAACCTGCACATTCTGCACATGTATCCCAGAACTTACAGTATAATAAATAAATAAAATGTAAGGCAAACAGGACAGAATAATGATACTGTGGTAATACAAATCATAACAGTGTTCATTTATGGTTAAAAGTGCCTCTATGCCTGGGCGTGGTGGCTCACCCCTGTAATCCCAGCACTTTGGGAGGCCAAGGTGGGCAGATCACGAGGTCAGGAGATGGAGACCATCTTGGCTCACATGGTGATACCCCGTCTCTACTAAAAGTACAAAAAAAAATTAGCTGGATGTGGTGGCGGGCACCTGTAGTCCCAGCTACTTGGGAGGCTGAGGCAGGAGAATGGTGTGAACCTGGGATGTGGAGCTTGCAATGGGCCGATATTGCACCACTGCACTCCAGTCTGGGTGACATGGTGAGACTCTGTCTCAAAAAACAAAAACAGAAACAAAAACAAAAACAAAAAAAAAGGCTTCCTATCTCAAAAAAATAAAATAAAAAGTAAGCCTCTATGTATTTTTCCAAACATTATAAAATTCTAAATCTCTTTTAAATTATTACTGTTAAAACTATGCATTTAATGCATTACAATGTGTAATGTCTTGTGTCTGGTAGTCTGGATCCACAATGAGCCTGATGAAGCACCTGGAACTGAGAACACAGTCTTCATTTTCTTCAAAATTTATTA
>NC_000024.10:57121509-57217415 GCF_000001405.40 Homo sapiens | reverse complement strand
ACCACACCCACACACCACACCCACACACCCACACCCACACCCACACCCACACACCACACCCACACACACCACACCCACACACACCCACACACCACACCCTAACCCTAACCCTAACCCTAACCCCTAACCCCTAACCCCTAACCCCTAACCCCTAACCCCTAACCCTAACCCTAACCCTAACCCTAACCCTAACCCTAACCCTAACCCTAACCCTAACCCTAACCCTAACCCTAACCCTAACCCTAACCCTAACCCTAACCCTAACCCTAACCCTAACCCTCACCCTAACCCTAACCCTAACCCTAACCCTAACCCTAACCCTAACCCTAACCCTAACCCTAACCCTAACCCTAACCCTAACCCTAACCCTAACCCTAACCCTAACCCTAACCCTAACCCTAACCCTAACCCTAACCCTAACCCTAACCCTAACCCTAACCCTAACCCTAACCCTAACCCTAACCCTAACCCTAACCCTAACCCTAACCCTAACCCTAACCCTAACCCTAACCCTAACCCTAACCCTAACCCTAACCCTAACCCTCCCTACCCTACCCTACCCTACCCTAACCCCTAACCCCTAACCCCTAACCCCTAACCCTAACCCTAACCCCTAACCCTAACCCTAACCCCTAACCCCTAACCCTAACCCTAACCCCTAACCCCTAACCCTAACCCTAACCCTAACCCTAACCCTCACCCTCACCCTCACCCTCACCCTCACCCTCACCCTAACCCTACCCTAACCCCTAACCCCTAACCCTAACCCTAACCCTACCCTAACCCTAACCCCAACCCCAACCCTAACCCCTAACCCCTAACCCTAACCCTTAACCCTAACCCCAACCCCAACCCCAACCCCAACCCCAACCCCTAACCCCAACCCCAACCCCAACCCCAACCCCACCCCTACCCCTACCCCAACCCTAAACCCAAACCCTAACCCCAACCCCAACCCCAACCCCAACCCCAACCGCAACCCCAACCCCAACCCTCACCCTCACCCTAAGCACATGAGGAATGTGGGTGTTATATTTTGGGTATCATGTGTGCATTAGGAATGCTGCATTTGCGTTCCGACGCTGCAAGTGGACCCTGCAATGCAGCCCCTCCCCTTGCCTTGGGAGAATCTCGGTGCGCAGCATTCAGAGGGGCTTTTGCTTTCCCGTTTTCCGCACTGAACCGCTCTAACTGGTCTCTCACCTTGATTATTCATGGCTGCAACCGGGAAACATTTTTATTCACCGTTGATGCGCCCCGAGTTGTCCCAAAGCCAGTCAGTGGCCCCAACGTCTGTGCTTAGGGGAATGCTGCTCCACCTTTACGGTGACCCCCAGGTCTGTACTGAGCAGAACGCAGCTCCGCCCTCGCGGTACCCTCAGCCCGCCCGCCCGGGTCTGACCTGAGGAGAACTCTGCTCCGCCTTCGCAGTACCACCGAAATCTGTGCAGAGGACAACGCAGCTCCGCCCTCGCGGTGCTCTGCCGCTCTGTGCTGACGAGAACGCAACTCGGCCGTCGCAAAGGCGCGCCGCGCCGGCGCAGGCGCAGAGAGGCGCGCCGCGCCGGCGCAGGCGCAGAGAGGCGCGCCGCGCCGGCGCAGGCGCAGAGAGGCGCGCCGCGCCGGCGCAGGCGCAGAGAGGCGCGCCGCGCCGGCGCAGGCGCAGAGAGGCGCGCCGCGCCGGCGCAGGCGCAGAGAGGCGCGCCGCGCCGGCGCAGGCGCAGAGAGGCGCGCCGCGCCGGCGCAGGCGCAGAGAGGCGCGCCGCGCCGGCGCAGGCGCAGAGACACATGCTAGCGCGTCCAGGGGTGGAGGCGTGGCGCAGGCGCAGAGACGCACGCCTACGGGCGGGGGTTGGGGGTGCGTGTGTTGCAGGAGCAAAGTCGCACGGCGCCGGGCTGGGGGCGGGGGGGTGCGGGGGCGCCGTGCACGCGCAGAAACTCACGTCACGGCGGCGCGGCGCAGAGACGGGTGGAACTTCAGTAATCCGAAAAGCCGGGATCGACCGCCCCTTGCTTGCAGCCGGGCACTACAGGACCCGCTTGCTCACGGTGCTGTGCCAGGGCGCCCCCTGCTGGCGACTAGGGCAACTGCAGGGCTCTCTTGCTTAGAGTGGTGGCCACCGCCCCCTCGTGGCGCCGGGGCACTGCAGGGTCCTCTTGCTTACTGTATAGTGGTGGCACGCCGCCTGCTGGCAGCTACGGACATTGCAGGGTCCTCTTGCTCAAGGTGTACTGGCAGCACGCCCGCCTGCTGGCAGCTGGGGACACTGCTGGGCCCTCTTGCTCCAACAGTAGTGGCGGATTATAGGGAAACACCAGGAGCATATGCTGTTTGGTCTCAGTAGACTCCTAAATATGGGATTCCTGGGTTTAAAAGTATAAAATAAATATGTTTAATTTGTTAACTGATTACCATCAGAATTGTACTGTTCTGTATCCCACCAGCAATGTCTAGGAGTGCCTGTTTCTCCACAAAGTGTTTACTTTTGGATTTTTTGCCAGTCTAACAGGTGAAGCCCTGGAGATTCTTATTAGTGATTTGGGCTGGGGCCTGGCCACGTGTATTTTTTTAAATTTCCACTGATGATTTTGCTGCATGGCCGGTGTTGAGAATGACTGCGCAAATTTGCCGGATTTCCTTTGCTGTTCCTGCATGTAGTTTAAACGAGATTGCCAGCACCGGGTATCATTCACCATTTTTCTTTTTGTTAACTTGCCGTCAGCCTTTTCTTTGACCTCTTCTTTCTGTTCATGTGTATTTGCTGTCTCTTAGCCCAGACTTCCCGTGTCCTTTCCACCAGGCCTTTGAGAGGTCACAGGGTCTTGATGCTGTGGTCTTGATCTGCAGGTGTCTGACTTCCAGCAACTGCTGGCCTGTGCCAGGGTGCAAGCTGAGCACTGGAGTGGAGTTTTCCTGTGGAGAGGAGCCATGCCTAGAGTGGGATGGGCCATTGTTCATCTTCTGGCCCCTGTTGTCTGCATGTAACTTAATACCACAACCAGGCATAGGGGAAAGATTGGAGGAAAGATGAGTGAGAGCATCAACTTCTCTGACAACCTAGGCCAGTAAGTAGTGCTTGTGCTCATCTCCTTGGCTGTGATACGTGGCCGGCCCTCGCTCCAGCAGCTGGACCCCTACCTGCCATCTGCTGCCATCGGAGCCCAAAGCCGGGCTGTGACTGCTCAGACCAGCCGGCTGGAGGGAGGGGCTCAGCAGGTCTGGCTTTGGCCCTGGGAGAGCAGGTGGAAGATCAGGCAGGCCATCGCTGCCACAGAACCCAGTGGATTGGCCTAGGTGGGATCTCTGAGCTCAACAAGCCCTCTCTGGGTGGTAGGTGCAGAGAGGGGAGGGGCAGAGCCGCAGGCACAGCCAAGAGGGCTGAAGAAATGGTAGAACGGAGCAGCTGGTGATGTGTGGGCCCACCGGCCCCAGGCTCCTGTCTCCTCCCAGGTGTGTGGTGATGCCAGGCATGCCCTTCCCCAGCATCAGGTCTCCAGAGCTGCAGAAGACGACGGCCGACTTGGATCACAATCTTGTGAGTGTCCCCAGTGTTGCAGAGGTGAGAGGAGAGTAGACAGTGAGTGGGAGTGGCGTCGCCCCTAGGGCTCTACTGGGCCGGCGTCTCCTGTCTCCTGGAGAGGCTTCGATGCCCCTCCACACCCTCTTGATATTCCCTGTGATGTCATCTGGAGCCCTGCTGCTTGCAGTGGCCTATAAAGCCTCCTGGTCTGGCTCCAAGGCCTGGCAGAGTCTTTCCCAGGGAAAGCTACAAGCAGCAAACAGTCCGCATGGGTCATCCCCTTCACTCCCAGCTCAGAGCCCAGCCAGGGGCCCCCAAGAAAGGCTCTGGTGGAGAACCTGTGCATGAAGGCTGTCAACCAGTCCATAGGCAAGCCTGGCTGCCTCCAGCTGGGTGGACAGACAGGGGCTGGAGAAGGGGAGAAGAGGAAAGGGGGGTTGCCTGCCCTGTCTCCTACCTGAGGCTGAGGAAGGAGAAGGGGATGCACTGTTGGGGAGGCAGCTGTAACTCAAAGCCTTAGCCTCTGTTCCCACGAAGGCAGGGCCATCAGGCACCAAAGGGATTCTGCCAGCATAGTGCTCCTGGATTAGTGATACACCCGGCACCCTGTCCTGGACAAGCTGTTGGCCTGGATCTGAGCCCTCGTGGAGGTCAAAGCCACCTTTGGTTCTGCCATTGCTGCTGTGTGGAAGTTCACTCCTGCCTTTTCCTTTCCCTAGAGCCTCCACCACCCCGAGATCACATTTCTCACTGCCTTTTGTCTGCCCAGTTTCACCAGAAGTAGGCCTCTTCCTGACAGGCAGCTGCACCACTGCCTGGCGCTGCGCCCTTCCTTTGCTCTGCCCGCTGGAGACGGTGTTTGTCATGGGCCTGATCTGCAGGGATCCTGCTACAAAGGTGAAACCCAGAAGAGTGTGGAGTCCAGAGTGTTGCCAGGACCCAGGCACAGGCATTAGTGCCCGTTGGAGAAAACAGGGGAACCCCGAAGAAATGGTGGGTCCTGGCCATCCGTGAGATCTTCCCAGGGCAGCTCCCCTCTGTGGAATCCAATCTGTCTTCCATCCTGTGTGGCCGAGGGCCAGGCTTCTCACTGGGCCTCTGCAGGAGGCTGCCATTTGTCCTGCCCACCTTCTTAGAAGCGAGACGGAGCAGACCCATCTGCTACTGCCCTTTCTATAATAACTAAAGTTAGCTGCCCTGGACTATTCACCCCCTAGTCTCAATTTAAAAAGATCCCCATGGCCACAGGGCCCCTGCCTGGGGGCTTGTCACCTCCCCCACCTTCTTCCTGAGTCACCCCTGCAGCCTTGCTCCCTAACCTGCCCCACAGCCTTGCCTGGATTTCTATCTCCCTGGCTTGGTGCCAGTTCCTCCAAGTTGATGGCACCTCCCTCCCTCTCAACCACTTGAGCAAACTCCAAGACATCTTCTACCCCAACACCAGCAATTGTGCCAAGGGCCATTGGGCTCTCAGCATGACTATTTTTAGAGACCCCGTGTCTGTCACTGAAACCTTTTTTGTGGGAGACTATTCCTCCCATCTGCAACAGCTGCCCCTGCTGACTGCCCTTCTCTCCCAGA
Source organism: Homo sapiens (assembly GCF_000001405.40). Classification (NCBI taxonomy): domain Eukaryota; kingdom Metazoa; phylum Chordata; class Mammalia; order Primates; family Hominidae; genus Homo; species Homo sapiens. The sequence goes on along the minus strand of NC_000024.10, from coordinate 57,212,313 downwards.
GAAACAGGTCAGCTGGGAGCTTCTGCCCCCACTGCCTAGGGACCAACAGGGGCAGGAGGCAGTCACTGACCCCGAGACGTTTGCATCCTGCACAGCTAGAGGTCCTTTATTAAAAGCACACTGTTGGTTTCTGCTCAGTTCTTTATTGATTGGTGTGCCGTTTTCTCTGGAAGCCTCTTAAGAACACAGTGGCGCAGGCTGGGTGGAGCCGTCCCCCCATGGAGCACAGGCAGACAGAAGTCCCCGCCCCAGCTGTGTGGCCTCAAGCCAGCCTTCCGCTCCTTGAAGCTGGTCTCCACACAGTGCTGGTTCCGTCACCCCCTCCCAGGGAAGCAGGTCTGAGCAGCTTGTCCTGGCTGTGTCCATGTCAGAGCAACAGCCCAAGTCTGGGTCTGGGGGGGAAGGTGTCATGGAGCCCCCTAGGATTCCCAGTCGTCCTCGTCCTCCTCTGCCTGTGGCTGTTGCGGTGGGGGCACAGGAGGGATGGAGTCTGACACGCGGGCAAAGGCTCCTCCGGGCCCCTCACCAGCCCCAGGTCCTTTCCCAGAGATGCCTGGAGGGAAAAGGCTGAGTGAGGGTGGTTGGTGGGAAACCCTGATTCCCCCAGCCCCCGGAGACTTAAATACAGGAAGAAAAAGGCAGGACAGAATTACAAGGTGCCGACCCAGGGCGGGCAGCGGCCCTGCCTCCTACCCTTGCGCCTCATGACCAGCTTGTTGAAGAGATCCGACATCAAGTGCCCACCTTGGCTCGTGGCTCTCACTGCAACGGGAAAGCCACAGACTGGGGTGAAGAGTTCAGTCACATGCGACCGGTGGCTCCCTGTCCCCACCCCCATGACACTCCCCAGCCCTCCAAGGCCACTGTGTTTCCTAGTTAGCTCAGAGCCTCAGTCGATCCCTGACCCAGCACCGGGCACTGATGAGAAAGCGGCTGTTTGAGGAGCCACCTCCCAGCCACCTCGGGGCCAGGGCCAGGGTGTGCAGCACCACTGTACGATGGGGAAACTGGCCCAGAGAGGTGAGGCAGCTTGCCTGGGGTCACAGAGCAAGGCAAAAGCAGCGCTGGGTACAAGCTCAAAACCATAGTGCCCAGGGCACTGCCGCTGCAGGCGCAGGCATCGCATCACACCAGTGTCTGCGTTCACAGCAGGCATCATCAGTAGCCTCCAGAGGCCTCAGGTCCAGTCTCTAAAAATATCTCAGGGGGCTGCAGTGGCTGACCATTGCCTTGGACCGCTCTTGGCAGTCGAAGAAGATTCTCCTGTCACAGTTTGGGCTGGGTGAGCTTAGAGAGGAAAGCTTCACTATGGCTCCCAAACCAGGAAGGAGCCATAGCCCAGGCAGGAGGGCTGAGGACTTCTGGTGGCGGCCCAGGGCTTCCAGCATGTGCCCTAGGGGAAGCAGGGGCCAGCTGGCAAGAGCAGGGGGTGGGCAGAAAGCACCCAGTGGACTCAGGGCTGGAGGGGAGGAGGCGATCTTGCCCAAGGCCCTCCGACCGCAGGCTCCAGGGCCCGCTCACCTTGCTCCTGCTCCTTCTGCTTCTTCTTCTCCAGCTTTCGCTCCTTCATGCTGCGCAGCTTGGCCTTGCCGATGCCCCCAGCTTGGCGGATGGACTCTAGCAGAGTGGCCCAGCCACCGGAGGGGTCGACCACTTCCCTGGGAGCTCCCTGGACTGGAGCCGGGAGGTGGGGAACAGGGCAAGGAGGAAAGGCTGCTCAGGCAGGGCTGGGGAAGCTTACTGTGTCCAAGAGCCTGCTGGGAGGGAAGTCACCTCCCCTCAAACGAGGAGCCCCGCGCTGGGGAGGCCGGACCTTTGGAGACTGTGTGGGGGGGCCTGGGCACTGACTTCTGCAACCACCTGAGCGCGGGCATCCTGTGTGCAGATACTCCCTGCTTCCTCTCTAGCCCCCACCCTGCAGAGCTGGACCCCTGAGCTAGCCATGCTCTGACAGTCTCAGTTGCACACATGAGCCAGCAGAGGGGTTTTGTGCCACTTCTGGATGCTAGGGTTACACTGGGAGATACAGCAGTGAAGCTGAAATGAAAAATGTGTTGCTGTAGTTTGTTATTAGACCCCTTCTTTCCATTGGTTTAATTAGGAATGGGGAACCCAGAGCCTCACTTGTTCAGGTTCCCTCTGCCCTAGAAGTGAGAAGTCCAGAGCTCTACAGTTTGAAAGCCACTATTTTATGGACCAAGTAGAACAAGATATTTGAAATGGAAACTATTCAAAAAATTGAGAATTTCTGACCACTTAACAAACCCACAGAAAATCCACCCGAGTGCACTGAGCACGCCAGAAATCAGGTGGCCTCAAAGAGCTGCTCCCACCTGAAGGAGACGCGCTGCTGCTGCCGTCGTCCTGCCTGGCGCCTTGGCCTACAGGGGCCGCGGTTGAGGGTGGGAGTGGGGGTGCACTGGCCAGCACCTCAGGAGCTGGGGGTGGTGGTGGGGGCGGTGGGGGTGGTGTTAGTACCCCATCTTGTAGGTCTGAAACACAAAGTGCGGGGTGTCTAGGGAAGAAGGTGTGTCAGCAGGGAGGTCCCCGGCCCAGCTCCCATCCCAGAACCCAGCTCACCTGCCTTGAGAGGCTCGGCTACCTCAGTGTGGAAGGTGGGCAGTTCCGGAATGGTGCCAGGGGCAGAGGGGGCAATGCCGGGGCCCAGGTCGGCACTGTACATGAGGTCGTTGGCAATGCTGGGCAGGTCAGGCAGGTAGGATGGAACATCAATCTCAGGCACCTGGCCCAGGTCTGGCACATAGAAGTAGTTCTCTGGGACCTGCAAGATTAGGCAGGGACATGTGAGAGGTGACAGGGACCTGCAGGGGCAGCCAACAAGACCTTGTGTGCACCTCCCATGGGTGGAATAAGGGGCCCAACAGCCTTGACTGGAGAAGAGCTCTGGCAAGGCCCTGGGCCACTGCACCTGTCTCCACCTCTGTCCCACCCCTCCCACCTGCTGTTCCAGCTGCTCTCTCTTGCTGATGGACAAGGGGGCATCAAACAGCTTCTCCTCTGTCTCTGCCCCCAGCATCACATGGGTCTTTGTTACAGCACCAGCCAGGGGGTCCAGGAAGACATACTTCTTGTACCTACGGAGGCGACATGGGGGTCAGGCAAGCTGACACCCGCTGTCCTGAGCCCATGTTCCTCTCCCACATCATCAGGGGCACAGCGTGCACTGTGGGGTCCCAGGCCTCCCGAGCCGAGCCACCCCAGTCACCCCCTGGCTCCTGGCCTATGTGCTGTACCTGTGTCTGATGCCCTGGGTCCCCACTAAGCCAGGCCGGGCCTCCCGCCCACACCCCTCGGCCCTGCCTTCTGGCCATACAGGTTCTCGGTGGTGTTGAAAAGCAGCAAGGAGCTGACAGAGCTGATGTTGCTGGGAAGACCCCCAAGTCCCTCTTCTGCATCGTCCTCGGGCTCCGGCTTGGTGCTCACGCACACAGGAAAGTCCTTCAGCTTCTCCTGAGAGGGCCAGGATGGCCAAGGGATGGTGAATATTTGGTGCTGGGCCTAATCAGCTGCCACCCCATCCCAGTCAGCCTCCTCTGGGGGACAGAACCCTATGGTGGCCCCGGCTCCTCCCCAGTATCCAGTCCTCCTGGTGTGTGACAGGCTAAGTTATGTGCGCAGCCAGCAGACCTGCAGGGCCCGCTCGTCCAGGGGGCGGTGCTTGCTCTGGATCCTGTGGCGGGGGCGTCTCTGCAGGCCAGGGTCCTGGGCGCCCGTGAAGATGGAGCCATATTCCTGCAGGCGCTCTGGAGCAGGGTACTTGGCACTGGAGAACACCTGTGGACACAGGGACAAGTCTGAGGGGGCCCTAAGAGGCTCAGAGGGCTAGGATTGCTTGGCAGGAGAGGGTGGAGTTGGAAGCCTGGGCGAGAAGAAAGCCCAAGGTACAGGTGGGCAGCAGGGCAGAGAATGGGCGGCCTCAGAGGCATGGGGAAATGGAGGGACTGCCCAGTAGCCTCAGGACACAGGGGTATGGGGACTACCTTGATGGCCTTCTTGCTGCCCTTGATCTTCTCAATCTTGGCCTGGGCCAAGGAGACCTTCTCTCCAATGGCCTGCACCTGGCTCCGGCTCTGCTCTACCTGCTGGGAGATCCTGCCATGGAGAAGATCACAGAGGCTGGGCTGCTCCCCACCCCCTGCACACCTCCTGCTTCTAACAGCAGAGCTGCCAGGCCAGGCCCTCAGGCAAGGGCTCTGAAGTCAGGGTCACCTGCTTGCCAGGGCCGATCTTGGTGCCATCCAGGGGGCCTCTACAAGGATAATCTGACCTGCAGGGTCGAGGAGTTGACGGTGCTGAGTTCCCTGCACTCTCACTAGGGACAGGCCCTATGCTGCCACCTGTACATGCTATCTGAAGGACAGCCTCCAGGGCACACAGAGGATGGTATTTACACATGCACACTGGCTACTGATGGGGCAAGCACTTCACAACCCCTCATAATCACGTGCAGCAGACAAAGTGACCTCTGCAGAGGGGGAACGGAGACCGGAGGCTGAGACTGGCAAGGCTGGACCTGAGTGTCGTCACCTAAATTCAGACGGGGAACTGCCCCTGCACCTAGTGAACGGCTCACTGAGCAAACTCTGAGTCCCGACCACCGCCTCAGTGTGGTCTAGCTCCTCACCTGCTTCCATCCTCCCTGGTGCGGGGTGGGCCCAGTGATATCAGCTGCCTGCTGTTCCCCAGATGTGCCAAGTGCATTCTTGTGTGCTTGCATCTCATGGAACGCCATTTCCCCAGACATCCCTGTGGCTGGCTCCTGATGCCCGAGGCCCAAGTGTCTGATGCTTTAAGGCACATCACCCCACTCATGCTTTTCCATGTTCTTTGGCCGCAGCAAGGCTGCTCTCACTGCAAAGTTAACTCTGATGCGTGTGTAACACAACATCCTCCTCCCAGTCGCCCCTGTAGCTCCCCTACCTCCAAGAGCCCAGCCCTTGCCCACAGGGCCACACTCCACGTGCAGAGCAGCCTCAGCATTCACCGGGCACGAGCGAGCCTGTGTGGCGCGCAGGGATGAGAAGGCAGAGGCGTGACTGGGGTTCATGAGGAAGGGCAGGAGGAGGGTGTGGGATGGTGGAGGGGTTTGAGAAGGCAGAGGCGCGACTGGGGTTCATGAGGAAAGGGAGGGGGAGGATGTGGGATGGTGGAGGGGCTGCAGACTCTGGGCTAGGGAAAGCTGGGATGTCTCTAAAGGTTGGAACGAATGGCCTAGAATCCGACCCAATAAGCCAAAGCCACTTCCACCAACGTTAGAAGGCCTTGGCCCCCAGAGAGCCAATTTCACAATCCAGAAGTCCCCGTGCCCTAATGGGTCTGCCCTGATTACTCCTGGCTCCTTGTGTGCAGGGGGCTCAGGCATGGCAGGGCTGGGAGTACCAGCAGGCACTCAAGCGGCTTAAGTGTTCCATGACAGACTGGTATGAAGGTGGCCACAATTCAGAAAGAAAAAAGAAGAGCACCATCTCCTTCCAGTGAGGAAGCGGGGCCACCACCCAGCGTGTGCTCCATCTTTTCTGGCTGGGGAGAGGCCTTCATCTGCTGTAAAGGGTCCTCACCCTGACCCTGACCCTCACCCTGACCCTGACCCTAAAACCCTGACCCTAAAACCCTGACCCTAACCCTGACCCTGACCCTAACCCTGACCCTGACCCTAACCCTGACCCGGACCCTGAACCCTAACCCGGACCCTGAACCCTAACCCCGACCCTGAACCCTAACCCCGACCCTCACCCTGACCCTCACCCTCACCCTGACCCTCACCCTACCCTGACCCTCACCCTGACCCTGACCCTGACCCTCACCCTGACCCTGACTCTGACCCTGACCCTCACCCTGACCCTGACCCTGACCCTCACCCTGACCCTGACCCCTGACCCTGACCCTTGACCCTGACCCTGACCCTGACCCTTGACCCTGACCCCGATTTCATTCATTTGATCTTCAATCACTGATACCCTTTCTTCCAGTTGATCGCATCGGCTACTAAAGCTTGTGCATTCGTCACATAGTTCTCGTGCCATGGTTTTCACCTCCATCAGGACTTCTCTGCATTGGTTATTCTAGTTAGCCATTCATCTAATCTTTTTTTCAAGGTCTTTAACTTCTTTGCACTGGGTTCGAACTTCGTCCTTTAGCTCGGAGAAGTTTGATCATCTGAAGCCTTCTTTTCTCAACTCGTCAAAGTCATTCTCCGTCCACCTTTGTTCCATTGTTGGTGAGGAGCTTTGTTCCTTTGGAGGAAGAGAGGCGCTCTGATTTTTAGAATTTTCAGTTTTTCTGCTCTGTTTTTTCCCTATCTTTGTGGTTTTATCTACCTTTGGTCTCTGATGATGGTGACGTACAGATGGGGTTTTTGTGTGGATGTCCTTTCTGTTTGTTAGTTTTCCTTCTAACAGTCAGGACCCTCAGCTGCAGGTCTGTTGGAGTTTGCTGGAGGTCCACTCCAGACCCTGTTTGCCTGGGTATCAGCAGTGGAGGCTGCAGAAGAGTGAATATTGCTGAACACCAAATGTTGCTGCCCGATCGTTCCTCTGGAAGCTTGGTCTCAGAGGGGTACCCGGCAATGTGAGGTGTCAGTCTGCCCCTACTGGGGGGTACCTCCCAGATAGGCTACCCGGGGGTCAGGGACCCACTTGAGGAGGCAGTTTGTCTGTTCTCAGATCTCAAACTCCGTGCTTGGAGAACCACTACTCTCTTCAAAGCTGTCAGACAGGGACATTTAAGTCTGCAGAGATTTCCGTTGCCTTTTGTTCGACTATGCCCTGGCCCCAGAAGTGGAGTCTGACAGAGGCAGGCAGGCCTCCTTGAGCTGTGGTGGGTTCCACCCAGTTCAAGCTTCCCAGCCACTTTGTTTACCTACTCAAGCCTCAGCAATGGCGGGCACCCCTCCACCAGCCTTGCTGCCACCTTGCAGTTCAATCTCAGACTGCTGTGCTAGCAATGAGCGAGGCTCCGTGGGTGTGGGACCCTCCGAGCCCAGGCGTGGGATATAATCTCCTGGTGTGCGGTTTGCTAAGACCGTTGGAAAAGCGCCAGTATTAGGGTGGGAGTGACCCTATTTTCCAGGTGCCATCTGTCACAGCTTCCCTTGGCTAGGAAAAGGGAATTCCCTGACCCCTTGTGCTTCCCGGGTGAAGGCGATGTCTCGCCCTGCTTCGGCTCAAGCTTGTGGGCTGCACCCACTGTCTGACAAGCCCCAGTGAGATGAACCCAGTACCACAGTTGGAAATGCAGAAATCACCCATCTTCTGCGTCACTCAGGCTGGGAGCTGTAGACTGGAGCTGTTCCTATTCCATGTCTTTATCTTTTAATTGGGTTGTTTTTCTTCTTGTTGAGTATTAGAATGTCTTTGTATATTTTGCATGCAAGTCTTTTTTTCAGGCTTGTTTTATAAATATTTTCTCTCAGTGTGTGCCTTATTTTTTGATTCTCTTAACAGGATATTTCACAGAGTAGTCATTTTAAATTTTAATGATGTCCAAATTATCATTTTTTTTCTTTTATGGACTGGCTTTTGGTATTGTATCTAAGAACTCATCACCAACCCAAAGTCACGTGGATTTTCTTCTATAAAACTTTTACAATTTTATATTTGATCATTTAAGGCTACAGACTATCTTGAGTGATTTTTTGGGGGTGAGCTATGAAGTTTTTGTCCACATTCAGTGTTTTCCGTATGGTTTCCGATTGTCTATTGCCATTTGTGGAACAGACTTTTCTTTCCCCAGTGAATTGCTTTTGCCCCTTTGACAAAATCAATTGAATGTATTTACTCGGGTTTTTTGGGTTCTGTATTGTGTTCTGTTGAGCTGTTTGTCCATTCCTTCACCAATATCACTCTCTTCATTGCTTTAGCTTTGTGGTAAAGCTAACAATAATGAGTGTACTGCTCCTAAACAAGGAGTATCTGCATTTGATTTAATATTTTTGATTCTTCTCAACCGTGATCTAAAGTTTTCTGAATGCATATTTGTATGTATTTTGTTAGATTTATACCTAATAAATTAAATTTGGGAATGCTATTGTAAATGGTATTTTTTTCAAATTTCAAGTTCAAATTATTCCTATACATTATTGCTGATGATAGAAAGAAAATCAGGCAGTGTGTGGTGGCTAACGCCCGTAATCCTAGCACTTTGGGAGGCCTAGTTGGGAGGATCATTTGAGCTTGGGAGTTCTAGACCAGCCTGGGCAACATAGTTAGACCTGCCCCGCCCATAAAAAATAAAATAATAAATAAAGGAAAATCAGGTGGTGCCGGACACAGTTGTTCACACCTGTAATCCCAGTGTGTTGGGAGGCTGAGGCTGGAGAATTTCTTGAACCCGGGAGCTGGAGGCTGAACTCGGGAGCTGTGATTACACCACTGCACTTCAGCATGGGTGACAGAGCGAGACCCTGTCTCTTAAAGAGAAAAGAAAGAAAATCAATTAAGTTTTGCCTACTGGCCATCTTTTTTTTGAGATGGAGTTTGGCTCTGTCACCCAGGTTGGAGTGCAGTGACATGATCTTGGCTCACTGCAACCTGCGCCTCCTGGGTTCGAGCAATCCTCCTGCCTCAGCCTCCTGAGTAGCTGGGATTACAGGCACGTGCCGCCATGCCCAGCTAATTTTTGTATTTTTAGTATAGATGCGGTTTCACCATGTTAGCCAGGCTGGTCTCAAACTCTGGACCTGAAGTAATCCGCCCGCCTCAGCCTCCCAAAATGCTGGGATTACAGGCATGAACTGGCCATCTTCTTTGCTTCCTTGCTCCATGAGTTCCGATCAAGGCATGGGATGGTGGGCTCCATTTCAGTCGTAATTTCCAAAATCCACAGCCTGGAAAAATCTAGACGCTGATTTTCAGAGACTCCCCATGGCTGCCGCAAGGGGGCGCATGGCCCCTGGCAACTCGGGGCGCCGTGCACGCACCGCGTCTCATCCACACAGCGGCAGTCACTTTGCGGCCACTATGAGGACTGAGCTTCCTCTCCCCAGGACCCGCATGGGAGAGACCGCGGCTTCGAGACACCTGGGGACACCTGGGGACACCTGGGGCGGCGTCCGCGGTGAGGACTGGGAGACGCTGCTGCATCTCCGGGACACCACTTGGGGCCGAGGCCAAGGTGAGGAAAAGGCTTCCCGCCCCCGGTGTGAGTGTGGCGGAGCGAGCGCGGCTGCATTTCCCGTCGTGCACTTTGTAGCAGGACCTCACTTTGTAGGAGATTCCCCTTCATGGAGGCTTGGGCGGGTCACCCCCAGTTCAGGCCAAGATGCAGGTTACGGATGTGAGTTTCTTTCTGGGAAGAGACCCTGGTACCGGGAGAGGAGGAAGAACGCGGAGACGCTGTCGGGAGATCAGCCTGAGGCCGAGGAAACAGGCCCCTGGGATCAGTGCTGGATGTTTGTTTTTGATTTTGTTTTTTGCTTTTTGTTTTTTTTTTTTTTTTTTTTTTTTTTGGAGACGGCGTCTCGCTCTGTCACCCAGGCTGGAGTGCAGTGGCGCAATCTCCGCTGACTGCAACCTCTGCCTCCATGGTTCAAGCGATTCTCCTACCTCAGCCTCCCAAAGCTGGCACTACAGGAGCAGGCCACCATGTCCAGCTAATTTTTATATGTTTTGTAGAGACGGGGTTTCACCACGTTGACCAGGATGATCTCAATCTCCTGACCTCGTGATCTGCCCGCCTCGGCCTCCCAAAGTGCTGGGATTACAGGTGTGAGCCACCATGCCCTGCCCTCTTTCTTTTTGAGAGGAAGCCCCACTCTGTTGACTAGGATGGAGTGCAGGTGTGCAATCTCTGCTCACTGCAACCTCCGCTTCCTGGGCTCAAGCGATTCTCCTCCCTCAGCCTCCCAAGTAGCTGGGACTACATACAGTTGTTGCCCACGGCGCCCAGCTAATTTTTTTTTTTTTTTTTTTTTTTGTATTTTTAGTAGAGACGGGGGCTTCACCATGTTGGCCAGGTTGGTCTCGAACTCACTGAGCTCAAGTGATCCTCCTGCCTCGGCCTCCTAAAGTGCTGGGATTACAGGCGTGAACTGGCCATCTTCTTTGCTTGCTGTCTCCATGGGTTTCGGTCGGGGCACGGGATGGTGGGCTCCATGTCAGTTGAAATTTCCAAAATCACGGCATGGAAAAATCCAAACGCTAATTTTCAGGGATTCTCCACGGCTGCCATTAGGGGGCCCGGCCAAACCCGGAGCGCCACAGTAGAACTGCGTCTGATCCGTACAGCGGCATCCCTGGGTGTGAGGACTGTGAGGACGGAGTTTTCTCTCCTCAGGACCCACCCAGGAGGGGCCATGGCTTCGAGACACCTGAGGAGACCTGGGGCCACGTCCGCGATGAGGACATCTCTGGGACACCTGGGGCTGCATCTCCGGGACACCTGGGGCTGACCCTGGTACGGGGAAAGGAGGAGGAACACAGAGATGCCCTCGTGAGGTCGGGGACCAGCAGGCACCGCAGTCTAAGGCCAATGAAACAGGCGCCCCTAGATGAGTGCTCGGTGTTTGTTTTGTTTTGTTTTCTTTTGAGAAGGAGTTTCGCTCTTGCTCCCCAGGCTGGAGTGCGATGTCGCGATCTCGACTCACTGCAACCTCTGCCTCCCGGGTTCAAGCGATTCTCCTGCCTCAGCCTCCCGAGTAGCTGGGGTTACAGTCATGCGCCATCACGCCCGGCTAATTTTGTAGTTTTAGTAGAGACGGTGTTTCTCCATGTTGATCAGGCTGGTCTCGAACTCCTGATCTCAGGTGATCCACCCACCTCGGCCTCCCAAAGTGCTGGAATTACAGGCGTGACCCACTGGGCCCGGCCAGTGCTTTGTGTTTTAAGGCTCTTTTGTTAACGCAGTGGAAACAACACAGGAAATGGAAAAGCAGGCACATTATCATTCTCAGGCCACTGCATTTAGCCTGGGCGACAGAGCGAGACCTTGTCTCAAAAAACAAAAACAAATGAAAACAAAAACAAACCATTTTGTGTGTCTAATGGAAGTCACCTCGTCAACAACAGTCTTTTGTTGAGAAAGTCTGTTTAATTGGCAGTGTATTTGTAATGGTACATAAAATGACGTCTGCTTTATAAGCATTCTCATTCCTATATTAGATGAAATGTATTAACTATATCAAGCTTTGATATTATACCATAAAATTACTTGAAGAAAGTCACTACTCTTTTTTTTCCTTTACCTTGACCATTTTAAATAAAATCATATTTCATTAAGGTTAGTTAATACTGAGCTGTAAATATGTATGGTCCTGGGGTCTTTTCTTTCTTTTTTCCTTTTTTTTTTTTTTTTTTTTGAAACGGAGTCTCGCTCAGTCTCCCAGGCTGGAGTGCAGTGGCGCAATCTCGGCTCACCGCAACCTCCACCTCCTGGGTTTGAGCAATTCTCTGCCTCAGCCTCCTAAGTAGCTGGGATTATAGTCACTTACCACCATGCCTGGCTAATTTTTTTTTTTTTTATATTTTTAGTAGAGACGGGGTTTCACCATCTTGGCCAGGCTGGTATTGAACTCCTGACCTTGTGGTCCACCCACCTCGGCCTCCCAAAGTGCTGGGATTACAGACATGCGCCACTGCTCCTGGCCTCTTTTCTTTTTTTGACATGGAGTCTCACTTTGTTGCCCAGGCTGGAGTGCAGTGGCGTGATCTCGGCTCACTGCAACCTCTGCCTCCCGGATTCAAGTGATTCTCCTACTTCAGCCTCCCGAGTACCTGGGATTACAGGCCTGAACAACCATGCCCAGCTAATTATTTTTGTATTTTTCATAGAGATGATAGGGTTTTGCCATGTTGCCCAGACTGGTCTCAAACTTCTGGGCTCAAGCAGTCTGCTTGCCTCAGCCTCTCAAAGTGCTGGGATTACAGGCATGAGCCACCATGCCAGGCCTGTCTCATTCCAATAAGGAATTATTAGCTTTTTCTGAGCACCACTGTGTGCAGGTGTCTTGCTCAGGTGAACTCACAGCAGTCTGCTAGGTATGGCTAGCACCCTGTGCAGAGGGGAGGGCCAGGCTTAGGTGACTGAGTGACTCACCTACAAATTACACAGCCTCCAGTGGCTTCACTCTCAGGTTCCAGCCCAGAACCAGCTCTCCAGGGCCCACTCAGGGAAAGTTTATGAGTTGAATGAAGAGGTGTCCAGGCCACACAGGAGAGGCATCCCAATTGTGGGTTCGTTTATGTGATCATGAGGTAGCCCAGGTCACACATGGAGCCTCATGAGCCACACAGCCCCTGTTATAAATACACTAGCCCGGGGCTCCCCAGAGCCCAGCTCCAGGAAGTGGATTCACACTAGTATTTTTATACTTGGTTAGAGCTGAGGATGCCTGTACCTCGCTTCCGTCCACACCCCTCCCACTCTCTGGATGCTAAAGATACATTCTGGGGCCTGCCTCGCCCCCACAGACCAGGATCCAGCTCTGCTGAGGCTCCCCACAAAACCCCAGAAGCTCTGCAGGCATGCAGGGTGGGAGGGCTGCCTATCTGAGCCAGAAGGGGCTTTTGCCTTTGGGGGCATCAGGCTACAGGTACTTCTTTCTGCTCAGGTTGCAGGAAGCATGAGAGCACCCAGGAGAGTTGCTCCCTGTAGCTCAGGACCCAGGGAGCTAACAGTCTCCATTTCATCCTGCCTTCAAAACTTCAGCGCTCCCAGCCCCAAAACACTCTTGATGCAGGAAAGGTGAGCCCAGAAATTGGGGTTTAGCACAGGAGGGCTTTTGGCTTCACCCAGGAAAGAATTCAAGGGCGAGTCGGTGGTATTAGAGAGCAACTTTTATTTAAGCAGCTGTGCACAGTGGCAGCAGAGGTACTGCTCCTTATGGAGCAGGGATGCCCCATAGGCAGTCAGCCCAGAGTAGCAGCTCAGAGGCAGTTCTGCACACATATTTATACCCACTTGTAACTATATACAAATTAAGGAGGAGGTTATTTAGAAATTTCTAGAAAAGGGGTGGTAACTTTCAGGTCATTGCCATGGAAAGGGGCAGTAATTTCCAGCTGTTACCATGAGAACGGCAAACTCACTTGGCACCAGTGGGTGTGTCTTATGGAGGGGTGCTTTTGCCTGTTTCAGCTAGTCTGTAATCTGGTCCAGAGTTCAAGCCCTGCCTCAGGAGTCAGGTCCCACCTCCTATCTCAGTCTGGTCACAGCCCTAACTAGGCAGATGATCCCAATGTCAGCCCAAAGCCCAGCAGTCAGGCCCTCCTGTGATCTGCCTGGGGCACCCAGGAAGGGGATGGGGCATGCTGGGATGGGCCATGATGTGTTGGGCCAGAAGTCAGGCCCTCTAGGTTGAAGTCCTAACCCCAGTAGCTGTGAATGTGACCTTATATGGAAACAGTGTCTTTGCAGATGATCAAGTTAAGATTAAATCGTTAGGGCCAGCCTTAATTCACTATTATTGTGATTTTAAAAAGGGGAAATTTGGACACAGAAATGCACACAAGGAAAAATCCCTGTAAAGACTGGAACTTTGGCCAGGCACGGTGGCTCATGCCTGTAATCCCAACACTTTGGGAGGCAGAGACAGACGGATCACTTGATATCAGGAGTTTGAGACCAGCCTGGCCAACATAGCGAAACACCGTCTCTACTAAAAATACAAAAACTAGCCAGGCGTGGTAGCAGGTGCCTGTAATCACAGCTACTCCAAAGGCTGAGGCAGAAGAATTGCTTGAACCTGGGAGGAGGAGGTTGCAGTGAGCCGAGATTGTGCCATTGCACTCCAGCCTGGGCAACAAGAGCAAAACTCCGTCACAAAAACAAAACAAAAGAAAGATTACAGCTTTGGTGTCACAAGCCAAGAAACTAACAGAAGCTGAAGAGAGGCCTGAAACTAATCCTTCCCTAGTGCCTTCAGAGGGAGCATGGCCCTGCTGAGAGAGTATAAATGGGACTCGGCCCACCCCCACTAACGTATTGTTCCATACGTGCCCGCTGACCACTAGACCTTGCAGCACCACCCTCCAGGTGCCATACTCGCTGGCCAGACCTTGCCAACTGTCTGAAATAAACTAAGATAAGCAGCATCCCGCCATAAGTCTTACTGACGGGAGTTGACTCCATCACCTGCTTGTGCACAAGGCCAGGAGAATGACCCTGGTCTTATGATAATACTAAAGTCCTCACCCAGGGAGGGGCTTATCTGCCATTTTCTGATCATGCAACGTATGTGTTAGCATGCGTCTGAGCACCCTTCGCTCCACCCCATATGTGCAATGACACTCATGTAGCTCATAAATTATGTATGTCACCCTCCTTAAGACACCACAATGCATTCCCCTTGGGGAGTCAGCCAAGAATTCTTCCTCCTGCACCGTCTCTCTTCTGCCCAAACTTTCGGGGCATAAGACTTAATAAAGTCTTGTCTGGGAAGCTTCCTTGGCCTAATATCAACTTCTGTTTCATGGGAGCCCAAGAACATGTGGTTGGGAACACTGCCAACATCTTTATTTCCAACTTCTGGACTTCAGAATTGTGAGACAACAAATCTCTGTGGTTCTAAGCTAACCATTTTGTGGCACTTTGTTACGACAGCCCTAGGAAACAAACGCAGGCACGTTCTGCTCCAACTGCCACTCTCTCCAGACCACAGCTCCTCCACAAGCCCACCCCATGAGAGGCTGAGGACAGAAGCAGGACCCTTCACAGGCCACCATCACTGCTGGATGGTCACCCCCAGCACTGACTGTCTGGAAGCTCCAGGCTCAGCTCTCAGTTTCCTGGAGCAAGGGGGAGGATGAGGACAAGGAGGAACGAGGGCACTGGCCTCCCAGGAATTGTCCCTGAGCCTCCATCCTGCTGTCCTGAAGCTGCCCCTGAACCTCCAACTTGCTGTCCCCAGAACTGTCATTGAGCCTACACCATGCTATCTCTAGAGCCCGGAAAGCCCAGGGCTGGACAAACCCCACCCCTCACTCCTCCTCTGGCCCCTTCTCCCAGCCATCAACACTTTGGAACAGCCATCAAGCCCCTTTTAATCTCTAGAAAGGTGCCTCAGTAAGGCACAGAGAGGTCACACCAGGTGGTCATGGTGCCTTACCTGTGTCCACTGGGCCCAGGCTGGCCCTTTAAGGGTATGAGGGCAGAACAGCTGAGAGACCACACCCCACTTCTCAGAGAGGTCAGGGATAAAGAAAAGGGACAATGGAAGGAAGAACTTGTGGCCAGGATGCTGAGGGTAGAGGCTGCTCCCCACAGGCACTGAGCAGAGGGGTTGAGGGGGGAGCCTCCAGCCTCCATCCAGACAGGACCTCTGACCGCTGCTAGGGGCCCCTTCTCAGGAGGTTCAGTCTCAGACAAGGGCTCCAGAAACTTCAGTCCATTTTCCCAAAATGGACATGATGCATCTGGCGAGTCAGGGACCTAGAATGTCCAGGACCGAGCCTTGCTGAGGACAGAAGGGAGCAACATGCCCTGGAGGTCCTCATGCAGCCCAGGCCTCTGGCAGTGACCAGCCAGCACCCAGGCAACTCCTTGCTGGGTCTCCAGGCCCTGATGGTCACAAGAAAGGCCACAGGCCAGGGCTGGGATGGGCCCAGAGCTCTGTGTGTTTCCTGGGAGGGCTGAGAGGTGCCATCCCCCATAGCAGCCCAAGGCACAGTAGTTGTTGTTGTTGCTGCTGCTGCTGCTGCTGCTGCTCCTGCTGCCCTCTGAGTCTGGGGGAGCCGGCCTAGTCAGGGACGTGGGGGCCCAGTCCTCCTGTGGCAGATAGGCAAGCGTCTGTACCCTCCACTCCGTACACCCTGCTGGCAGCACATCCTCTGAGCTCAGGTTCCCCGGGAGCCTGGTCCCAGGGCCCTCCTGTTCCTCCTCCAGGGCCACAGATTTCCAAGGACGCGCTGGGCCACAAGTGAGCAGTGCAGTGGCCTCCTGGACGCAGGGCTCCAAGGCTCCCTGTGGGGTGCCAGCACAGTCCTGGCTCAACAGCACACCGGCCCCGTGGGCCCCCATCCAAGTCTGGAACAGAGCACGGGAGGAGGGAAGGGCTCAGGTAGCATGTTCAGAACTCATCCTGGGAGCAGCTGCCTCCTTTCTGGCAAGCCCAGCATCCCTCCTCCTCCAGGAAGCCCTCCTGAGGTCCACACCCAGAGGCCAAGCAGCGCCTGTGTCTTGGACATTCTGTCTTTCCTCCATGTGCCAGCCCAGCCTCATCACGGGACCCTGAGTCCCTTCAGGCTCCTCAGCACTCCCCCAGCACAGGGCCTGGTGCCCACGGCAGCCTGAACCGAGGTACAGATGGTGATATCTGCCCAGGACAGAGCCAGCTCCTGACAGCATGTGCCTCAGGGCCTTTCAGCAGCTGCAGAGACTGGGCATTCCCAACACACACACACACACACACAAACATACACAAACACACACACACACAGAGACACACACACACACAAACACACACAGATACACACAGACACACACACACGAGACACACACACACAAACACACACAGACATAAACACACACAGACACACACACATAAACACACACACACACAGACATACACACACAAACACACACACACAGACACACACACCACACGAACACACACAGACACATAAACACACACAGACACATACACACACAGACACACAGACACACACAGACATACACACATAAACACAAACACACACACACAAACACACACACAAACATACACAGACACATAAACACACACACAGACACACACACACAAACACACACAGACACACACACAAACACACACAGACACAAACACACACAGATACAGACACACACACAGAGACACACACACACAAACACACACAGACTTAAACACACACAGACACACACACATAAACACACACACACAGACATACACACACAAACACACACACAGACACACACACGAACACACACAGACACATAAACACACACACACACACACACAGACACACACACGAATCGCTGTCAGGACTGGTGACTTTCAAAGCACTCGGCTATGGCCAGCAGACCTGGATCCTTCTGTGGGGCCACAGGAGGCCCCCGCCTCCAAAAGGAAGCTGTTCCCTTGGTGGGACCAGGAGCCTCCATCCCATGCATCACACACACAACACCCTCCATCACTGCAGTGCTCCCTGGAGACCAACCTATGGCACCAGATCCTCACCCGCAGGTCTAAATAACCCGTGGCAGGTGTCCTAGTTCTCTAGGGAACAGCTGGTGCCCGCAACAGGATGACAGTCCAGGGGACAGTCACAATCTGACCTGCTCAGCCTTGTCGTCAGCTGCCCAGGCTCCTGACAGTCACATCTACCACCTTGGGGAAAGAGGGAGACTCTGCCAAGAGCCAGATGCCCGGTTCATGGTTCAAATTATATTTTTGGACAAAAATCTTGAAAACTACGCTCCTCATTGAGAGAGAAAAGGATTTTTCTGCATAGTAAGCTGGAGCCACAGTGTGAAGGGGACAGGGAGGGAAGATTCTGGAGAAGAGTGGTCAGCTTGGCCCAGACCCCAGGGAGGGGCCCTCACTGCCTCTTGTCCTTTGCCCAAAGTGAGGAGTCTGAGGGGAAAAACCAGAGACCACTCACTGGAGCTCTCCCTCTCCCCCTCCTCCCACCCAGGGGGCATGAACCAACAGCCCAGCAGGGAGGGGAGGGGCTGATGCAACCCCCAAGTTGCTCACTGGTGCCTGGGCTGTAGGAGCCCAACATGGGTGGAAGGGGGGGAAGTGCAGAGCCCACTCCTCAGCTGTGGTGCCATCATGTGATCCGGGGAGACCAGGGGACCAGGCAGAGCAGGAGCCCAGAGGCAGTGAGAGCCCCAAGGGCAGCACACACACCACAGACCCTTCCCCATGGCCACAGGACAGACACCTTCGCAGAAGGAGGAGGTGAGGCACATGGTGGGTGCAGAAAGCTGCAAACCAGAGGGGACAGAGATAAGTTATGAGAAATTTACATTTTTTCAATCAACAATGGAACTAGAGACCTGAGAACAAAAAGAAATCAGCAATGGAAAATAAAGCTAATTTTTCCCCATTTGAGATACGCGTATAAATTGAAATTCACTGAATATACAAAAAAGGCTCCAAGCACTGACAAGCCTCCCATACTGGCCGCCAACCCTCAGTGAAAGCCAACATCTTGGGCAGGCCAGAGCTCTGGGCAACCCCTGCCCCCCATGTCCTTCTGTGGTCTCTGCACACACCTGGAAGTTCCCATTGTGTACACTGTAGAGGGGCTGGAAGAACATCGCTGGAGAGGGCACGTTCTGGTAGAAGATTCTCTTCACCCTGAGGCCAAGAGAGGCCAGTCAGAGGCCTATGGCGACCCAGGTGGCCTGAGGTCACTGCAGAGGCTGAGCTTCCTTCCATCAGCAGGAGGTCCGCCCACCTCGTCCCTGCCACTGCCTCTCTCCCATCTCATCACATTCCAACCCACTCTCAGGGCAGGACCCAACTGGGCCTCCTTGCCTAACGGCCGCATAGAACTGATTTATACTGAGGCGCGCGTCCTTTACAGCGTGAGCTGCGATGGCGGGTTCAGAACGGGGAGTTACTAGCTGGGTCCTCAGATCACAGAGGGAGCCAGCACTCCAGGAACCCTGTCTTTGCCATCAGCAGAAGGTCTGTGGCTCCCACCCCACCCAGTGTCTCCCTGAGCACCAGACTTGCTGCCAAGGATCCACTGACCCTCCCACAAGGATGTCACCTGGGGCTCCAACCCAACAGGTCCAAATAGACTTCACCAACCTCCCTGCAAGGCTGTCCCCCATTTCCCCACCTCAGGGGTCACCACTCATATCTCATCCACCCACATGTCCCTTCTATTTCCCCTCATGAGACCCTGCAATTCTCTCCACTTTTCTCTATCTCCACTTCTTTCACTGGCTCATGCCAAATCGTCTCCCTGTGGGCACCTCACTGGCCCCCATTGGCCTCCAGCAGGTCCCCCATGTCCCCTTGTCCCAGCAATCTATTCCTCAAAACATAAACTAGGTTGTGTCACACAGTTTTACACTTTCCTTTGCTCCAAGGAGAAGCGAAGCACCCTCCCACTTAGCCCCACCCAACACCCCTCTCCCCACACCCTCTTCCTCACATCTGCGGCCTGACATGGCCCCTGCACCCTGTCTTGTAACCTGACATGTGGTGCATGAGGCGTGACGGTTTATTTAAGGAGGGCCCTTGTCCATCTTGTTCTGAGAACAGGGTCCTGAGCACACCAGATGCCCCAACTGTCCTTTCGTAGAACATGTGAACAAATGAACAAACCAAGCTCCTCCAGAGGCAGGAGACTAGGACCTCCGGCTCTTGATCTCGGTGACTCTGGGTCTGGTCGGGACCAAGCTGCCCTTATCTTCAGCCTCTGCCTCAGACCCCCCTTCCCTGCTCTCCCCTGGCAACTTGAGAACCCTCTTCTGGACCAGGGTGGAGACTCGAAAAGCCCACCCCGTCCAGGACCAGGCAGTGGAGAGGGGAGGGGAGGAACCAGACAAGGGCGGCCCTTGATGGCCCACCCACCACACACTCACACATGCACACAGTCACACATCTGCACACATACACTAACATGCACACTCTTGCCCGCTCACACATGTACACACACGCACACATCAGCCACCTACCTGGGCGACAGCTTGAACAGGAGGTAGGTCGGGCCAGTCAGCAGGAGAAAGATGGACACAGCAACAAGGGTGTTGCCTGGCCACCCCCAGGGTGGGATCAGAGGGCCTGTGGACAGGAAGGGCCCAGGGCTGTGAGCAGCCTCAGTGCCAGGAGGCTCCCCCCAAACCCACCTGGCAAAGGTGCGCCCTTTAGTGCCCTGGGCCAAAGTGGAAGGTTTGTGATGGGCCTTGGAGGTTTGTGTCACCTGCTGAAGGACCTTGTGATGGGCCTTGGAGGTTTGTGTCACCTGCTGAAGGACCTTGTGTGAACCACACTCCTGGGCCTCACTCTTCCCATCTGCCACAAGGTGGGTCATAAAGTCCCTGGGCCATCTCAGCACTGCAGTGCGCAAGGGTCAGTCCAGCCCCCATTAAGGACACTGAGGTCATGTCCAGCCTCCAGGCAGGAGCCCAGCCCTGGTGTGCAGCCCTGCCACCCTCACTCCTAACAGCAGCCACTAACTACAGGTTCCCAGGAAGCCCCAGAGTTGGCAGGTGTTTCTGTCCTCCCTACAGACCTCAGACCTTCAGAGGAAGGGGGTCAACTGAGGCATGGCTGCCTCGGGGAGGGGCTTACAGGAGGGTGAAAGGGTGCAGGGCTGAGGTGAACAGGGGAGAAGACGCCCAGCCCAGACTCCGCTGGAAGTGCAGCAGCCACAGCAGTGCCCACCTTGTCTCTGGGGAGCCTGGAAGCACACAGGCTGGCTCCACTCACTCCACTGGCCTGTATAACGCTCCTCCTCTACCACATCATCCTCCAGTGTGGCCATCTGGACACGCAGCCTGGCCTCATGGATAAAGCCAGGGTCCAGCTCAAAGGCTTCAAGTATAAGCCAGGTCACCCCGACAATGTGATCCCTGTGCTGGGCCTGCTGTGGGGGTGGGGACAGTTAGCAGGTGGTGAAGGTGGGGCTGGGTCCCTCAGCCCTCGAGAATACACACATGCATTATATGCTCATATAACACACTCTTGAACACACTTGTGTTAACACACAGACACACTCACCACATTCACGTGCACACACACACAC
Organism: Homo sapiens; assembly: GCF_000001405.40. Taxonomy (NCBI): domain Eukaryota; kingdom Metazoa; phylum Chordata; class Mammalia; order Primates; family Hominidae; genus Homo; species Homo sapiens. The sequence continues at coordinate 57,191,638 of NC_000024.10, read as the reverse complement.
AGAAGGCACACTCACACTCACAGACACAGCTGCGTTTGCCCACAAATACACATATGCACACACAGGCAAACATGTCTACAGGAACACTTTCACACTCATCACACTTGCATGCACACTCATAAACAAAAGTGTGTGCACAGAAGCAACTCACCACACTCACATACACACTCATACACATAGGCATGCCCATGTGCACACTCACACAAATGCAAGGCACAGGCACACACATATGTACACTTACATATAAACACACAAACATGGGCACACAAACATGAGTGTGCACAGTTACATATGTGTACACATAAACACATACATGCACACTCACCACACTTATGTGCACACACAGAGACACAGGCGCACTCACCCTACTCCCATACACACACATAAAGCATACACATCTGCATGCCAGCATGTGTGTGTGCACACACACCCCGCTCTAGTTCCTCCCTTCTCATCACTACAAGTTGACATCTCCCTATGTAGAGTGGGGAGTCTACCCTGGACTGCTGTTCCCAGGAGAGAGGCCCCCAGGGAAAGCCAGCCAAAGTGTTACCTCCCAGGCCTCTTCCTGCTTCTTGAAGGCCAGCTCATAGCTGAGAAGTGTGGTCATTGGCTCCAAGGCAGGACTGATGCTCCAGGTCAGGATGCAGTGGCCAGAACTGATGTTGCTCTGCAAGTCAGAGGGCGGGTCCAGCTTAACTGGAACAGAGTGAATCCATGTGAGGCTGAAGCCCCATGGGTCTGGGTGTGTCAGTCAGAACACACAAGACTGGGGTCTGAAAGACTCCCAAGGGGAATGGTCAAGGCCCTCTCAGACCAGGCACCTCACTGGGAGACTGGTCCACAAAAGCCCCAGGCGGGACAGGACAGCAATGACTTCCTCTGGCCTCTGCACCTAGACTAGGTGGTTTCTAAATCTTGCTTTCCCTTTCCTTCACAGTCTGCTGCTGGAAGCTTTTCCCAGCATCTTATTGGAGTCCTTCCTGGTATGACTGAAGTGCATTTCACATGACTCAAGTGCCAGCCCCTGCCCCAACTAGCAGCCGTGCATGTTTATTTCCTGCCAAAACCCTGCCCCTGCAGTAACCATATGGGCCCTCCCCTCCCAAGGGCCAAGCCTGCCCCCAGCCCTGGATCTCACTCGGCTGGGACTGAGAACACTCACTGGGCCACTCACAGGCTGCAAGGCCCTGCTCCAAACCCCCAAGCAGCCAGGATGTTCTTGCCAAGCGGCCCCGCCCCAGACCTATAGCTGCTGCTCACCGTGTCTCCGGGGCAGGTACTCCGGGTCCACCAGGCTGACCTGCTCCCTCCCAGACATGCAGTGGTGGAAAGTGATGGTGAAATTGTCAGATGGCACGAGCACTGCCTCAGGTGGCAGCACGACGGTGCACTCACTGCCCCGCAAGATGCACTTATGTGTGCCGCCAGGAGCCTGGTTGCTGGAAAGGGCATTTGTCAGCACCACGGGGCTGCTACACTGTCCTGGCATAGCTGCTTCAATCCTGGGGAACTCACCCTCATCCCTGTCCAGGTGGGCATGGCCCTCCATGCTCACCTGGTGAAGAGGAGCCAGGGGCTGGAGCCCTGTCCCAGCTCTGGGGCAGACCAGTGGCAATCGATCCTGAGAATGTTGTTGGTGAGGCAGGTGAAGGTTCTAGACCTTGGCCCTGGAGACAGTGACCATCAGGAGCCCACGGTAAGTACTTCAGGCCAGAGCTGAGCTCGGGGGTTGGGGAGGATCTGACAGCTGACACCCTAGCAGGGCAGTCACCAGTAAATGATCCCAGAATCTGTCCAGGGAAGCACTGGGAGGCCTGGGAAGTGATGGGCTCTGACCTGTGGTACACGGGCAAGTCAGATCTGGAGAGGCGTCAAGAGAGTGAAGGAAGGGAGACTACAGTCGGTCCAGGGAATGAAGGTAGGGAGGTAAAAGTAGGGAGACTAGAGACTGAGGTCCAGGCTGACCCCTAGAGGACATGCCCCAGCACAGTTTGGGCCAAACCTTTCCCTAGAGGCTTGACATCGGACAACCCAGTCCCCCAAACATGCCCTAGTTCTCCACCCACCTCATACAGACATTAGTGCCCAGCCCTCACCTTGTCCTTCCCCTGTGACAGAGACTCCCAAGCAGACACAGGTGCAGATGCAGATGCAGGCCAGGAGCCAGGTGCCCATGTCTCGCCTCAGGGCCTCACTCTCCAAGGTCCAGCCTGCAAGGGACTGGGCTGAGGGCCCTGTGCAAATCATCCCTCTCTGGAGGGGTGCTCCCCATGAATTGCTCCCCAGCAGAGTGCTCCATGGGTCCCCACCTGCACTCACACAGTGTCCTGTGTCCTAACACTCACACAGTGTCCAGCGTCCTGGACCACTGTCCAGGCTTTACTGATAAGGAACTGAGCTCAGAAAGGCCATTTGACTCAGCCAAAGACTCATGGCTGCAGGGTGTAAGGAACACCCTCAAACTTAGATCCTGGCCTCTGACTCAGCTAGGTCTCCACATCTGCCGAGAAGACTCCTCTCTGGGACAGTCATCCTCTGCCAGCCCATCCCCCATTCCCGGGCCCAGGCCCCATCCTGCAGGGGAGTCAGGGTTGGGGGAACTGGTCACTACCAACAACCACCATAGGTACATTTTCTACTTTAATTCTCACAACAGCTCTGTAAGGGAGAAGCACTGTCCCCGTTCACAGGCAAGGAACTGAGTCCCAAGGAGGGGAAATGACTTGCCCAGGGTCACACAGACAAATTCTAAGCAAATTTTTTTTTTTGAGACAGTCTCCCTCTGTCACCCAGGCTAGAGTGCAGTGGTGTGATCTTGGCTCACTGCAACCTCCGCCTCCTGGGTTCAAGTGATTATCCTGCCTCAGCCTCCCGAGTAGCTGGGATTACAGGCATCTCCCGCCATGCCCAGCTAATTTTTTTTTTTTTGTATTTTTAGTAGAGACGGGGTTTCACCATGTTGGCCAGGCTAGTCTTGACCTCCTGACCTCAAGGGATCCACCTGCCTTGGCCTCCCAAAGTGTTGGGATTACAGGCGTGAGCACCAGACCCAGCCTCTATGCATTCTCTCTCCCTTTTGTCCTCTTAAATAAAGACCCATCCAACTGTTCTGCCCCAGAAAGGTGGACGAGGGTGGCAGCAGGGTATCCATGCAACAGATGGCACTTTCTGAACTCTGTTGCACCCCTGTTCCAAGGCACCTGCAAAGAAGAGCAACACCAGAAGGGCAAAGCCCCCGGATGCTGGAGCGTGAGGCCTGAGCCCCAGGATCCCTAGGGGAGCCAGAGGTTGGCTAGAGATGAGGGGCTGGGTGTCAGGAAGTGCTTGGGTGTGGGAAGGCCGCTGACGCCCTATCACCCCATTTGCAACTCCAGATGGTACACCGATAGCCCCTAGGCAGGAAGCAGGGCCAGCCTGGTTATACAAGACTGATTACTGATAGGAGGAGGAAAAAACCAGACACGCACACAGACTTACAGCCTTAAAGGACCGCACAAACCAATGGGCAGCAGGCACTACTCTAACCCCACTCTGCCCCACTCCCGGCAGCGTATACAGGTACCCATAGGACAGTCCCCTGTTAAGACTGATGATCAGGAAGCCTCACCCTTTCCTAGAATGGAGCGTGCAGCCTGGAACCACCAGCCACAGCATGAAACACCGTGGCAAGTTCTCTGCAGCAGTGTCTGTCCGTTCTTGCAGCAGTTACTGGAAAGGTGGGAATGGGGAAGGCAGTCAGCCTGCTCTTGGGATATGTGAGGGCAGGGTTGGAGTCACCACCAGGACCTGGGGAAGCACAGGCACAACGGCCACAGCTGAGAGCTGACCCAGGCCCCAGAATGGACAACTGCTGCCCCAGCAGTGGAGAAACACCCACATCTATGTAGAATCAGGCCAGGCCAGCCACAGGCTAACCCAGGAGCAGACGGCTTGAGAGCAGGGAGTGGGATGGCTCCAAGCTCAGCAGGCCTCGTTTCTAGACAGGGAAGGGGGATGGTAGGGCAGGATCCACATGTGACACCTGAGAGCTACAAAGTAGGACCGGAGAGTTGGGTACAGCGACAAGGGGGTATGGCCATCTGAGGGGAAGTTCTCTGCTTTTCCTCTGCACTGAAAACTTACATCTGTACCTGGTAAGCTGAGCAGGGCAGGGTCACCACCCTCCTACAGATGAAGAAACTGAGGCTCAGAGACCTGGGACCTGCCCAATACCTGGCTCCTGACACCTCTCTTCTTGGCCCATTCCCACCAGCTTCCACATAAGCCTGTGAACTTCCCGAGGGCAGTGCCTGCGAGGCACCACTCAGCACATGCCCCAGCAGAAGGCACCACAGTGCTTTATAAATGGGGTGGAGCTGCAGGCAGAGCTGCCTTCCCCCATCCTTGACCACAGGGCCAGGCAGTCAGGGCAGATGCATACACCCTTACTCACAGGCTCCCTGCTCCTGAATGTCACCAGGGAAGCCTCACCACAGCTCAGACAACACCTGGTAACAGGCCGGTTGTGAGAGCAGGAGGGGAAACCAGTGTCTGCCACCTGGGACAGAGCTGCCCCTGACACCCCCAGTCCCGCTGGGGAGCCTGGCTGACATCACTGCCCAGCACAGCCTATCCCGCCTTGGATCTGTGGACATAGCCTTCAGCCCATGATCACTTTGGTCTGTTCTCAGAGCCCCACCCATTCCATGGCCTCAGTGTCAAAGTCTGGCCCAGATGCCTACTAGGCCTCATAGCCTGCCTGCCCTGCTTCCCTGGGCCACTGTGAAGCTGTGGGCTGCCCTGCCCTCACCTTTCCTGAACACTCACCTAATACAGAGCAGGCCACCATCATGGAGGCAGTCCAGGCAGCCCTGAGCATCTCTGTGCCTCCAAGCACACTCTCCAAGTTGCCCTCACACCAGTTACTGCATCCACTTACTGTTACACAGAGACTATTATGCATATATATATGTGTGTATATATATATATATTTTTTTTTTTTAGACGGAGTCTCGCTCTGTCGCTCAGGCTGGAACACAGTGGCGTGATCTCGGCTCACTGCAACCTCTGCCTCCCGAGTTCAAGTGATCCTCCTGCTTCAGCCTCCCAAGTAGCTGGGATTACAAGCATTTACAAGCATGAGTCACCACGCCTGGCTAATTTTTGTATTTTTAGTAGACACAGGGTTTCACCATGTTTGTCAGGCTGGTCTCGTACTCCTGGCCTCAAGTGATTCACCTGCTTTGGCCTCCCAAAGTGCTGGGATGTCAGGCATGAGCCAACATGCCTGGCCATATTTTGTCTTTTTTAATGGGGGCGGGGAAGGGTCTGGTTCTTCTGGACCATTCAGGAGGCTGGCAGCCTCAGAAGTTACTATTGAAGTGGACACCTGTCCAGCAAGGTCTTCTGTCTGCTGGGGGAAGAGGAAGAAATGCAGACCTTGGTACCCCAGAAGCAGCTGGAGCCTGGGGACATGGAGCCTGTGCCAGAAAATGGTGCTGGAAATGGGAGCAGGGGCCAGCTCCCTCTCTGGACCACATGAGGACTTCCTTCAGCACAGTGGGAATCCCCAATGCTGTTGGGCACAGAGTATGTAAGGTGCTGACAGGGGTAGGGATGGGCAGGAGGCAGGAGGGATGGGGTCTGAAAGGCCAGCTGGAGGCAAGTACAGAGACAACAGACACCTCATAGAGAAGGTGCAGGGAAGGCAGGGTGGGAGAGAGATGGCACCAAGAAGCATTTCCCACACACTTTCAGAGAAGAGGATGAGGGGCAGTGCTGCATCCGTGAGGTAAATGCCTGTGGGAACGCTGGGCCACAGCTCAGGAAGAAGTCAGGGCTGGACTTGGCACTGCAGAGGTGTTGGGTGGACAAGGGCACATACCCAGGGCAGAGGGGAGTAGGCAAGGGTGGGTGGGAGAAGTACAGAGAGGCGTGGAGGAGACCCCTGCTGCTCTGCTTCCCACTGTCCCCTCTGCCATCTTCCCTCCCCATCACAGGCCTGGTCCTTCATGAGGCCTTTCCCCAGTCCCCTAGTAGGCCTCCTTAGCTGGACGGAACCCCTGAGCCTGAGCACAGGCAACTCTCCTTCTGCACAGCCCTGAACTGACAGGGCCCAAGGGTTGAGCAGTGGCCATGGGCCAGGGCTGGAGTGAGGATATTGGCACAGTCCCCTGGGAGTCTGGAGGTGAGACGGGAAAATGATGTCCGTGCTCTTCCTGCTGTCTTGGTGAAGAGGTACCCACGTCGCCTGCTCTGCCCAAAACACCCCTCCCACAGCCTTGCTGCCCCACTGCAGTTGAAGGTCATCACTGTGCGTTGTCCCTACATGAGGCTCCTGGAGGCAAGACCCTGTTTGATCATGTTGCATCCCCTGCACCCAACTCAACCGTTTGATAAATGTTTTCCAACCCCCGCCCCACCTGCAGAGGCTGCCCTTGCTTCTGGACGGTGTTCATGTTGTGGGTACCCAGGAGCGGGGCTCTGGGATGCTACTTGAAGACACGCTGAGAGGATACCCACTCTTGATACTGTCTCAAACTCTGTCTCAAAAAAAAATTAATAATAATTAAAACGCCTGCCCTGCCTGTCAGCTGTAGCGTGACAGCTCTGGGAAGAGGGTGAGCCCAGAACAGCATAAATCACAGGAAGAGAAAATGGGGGCAGGGAGGGGAGAGGAGGATCCAAGCAGGGCCCACATCCTCCAGCTCATCACAAGAACAGGCTATCCAGACCCCAGGAAACTGAGAGGGTGATGTTCTTTCCAAAACAAACCCTCTCCTCCCCTTCCTCTGCTTGGCTGGGTTGACCCTCCCTCTGGAATCCCACCCTCACCTGCTGCCCCACACACAGCTCCAGTGGGGCATACCCATCCTCCTGGCTCCTCTTCTGCCCTAAAACACCCAAATGCCTCGGGGTTGGTAGAAGCTTTCCCAGCCCTGGGCCTAGACCTCAGCTCCACCCCATGGCCATCACAACTGAGGCCCAAGTATGCCCATTCTCACCCCACAAAGGCACCCCCACAAAGGTCAGTTCAATCACTGAGGAAGCAGAGTTCCTTCCATAATTAGAAATTCTGCCTGACAAACTCAGTGCCACACTGGCCACAGCAGAACCCATGACCCCTACAGGACTGGAAATTAGTTTGTAATCCTTGAGGTCAGGGCTGCAAATTTTGCCATCTCTAAGAGATACACAAGGCCAGGACACCAGAGGAGGTAAAGCTAGGGTGGCGCTCTCAAATGCCACAGTGGCTCCCTGGGCCCCGAGTTGGAGGGCCACATGTCCCTCTCTGCCTTCTGAATTTCATGCTGACTTGAGAGGTTGGGAAGCCCAAAGCACAGACTCACCTTCCCAGATGCATCTGCCCAGTCCCATCACAAGTCTGAGGCATCCCCAACCTGGAGGTGATTTGTCACCCAACTATCTCTGGGTGCACAGCAAAGACCCTCAGCCTGATTCAGGAGATAACTGCAGCAGTTGGTGACGTGAGCTTTGCACGACAGGTTCACACAGGCCGCCCACATCTGAAACCACAAGCGCATTACAGAGCTGCTCTCCCGAGCAGAGCTGAGAAGTGTCTGTCACCACTAATCTTCTAAGTCAGGGAACTGTGAGACATGACAACCTTACAGTCCCCATGACATTGAGAACTGCCAGACATGGACTTCAGTGATTTGTCTACTGACTGGCAAGTGAGTGTCCACTGTGTTCTTCCCAAGAAACACCACTGAGATTCATTAAACTGACCCCAGGAGGCAAGAACCTGTGCAGGTGCAGAGCAGTGCCCTTGTCCCCTTCTACACTTTGCCAAAACCAGAGGTGCAGGTTCTCCTTCCACCAGCTAAAGCAACCTGTGAGCATCAGGGGTGGGGAGAGTATTAAATATAAAATTAATGCAGACTCAGTTGAAGAAAAACAATACAGAAGAAAAATTCTTTAACAGGGTCCCCTTTCACCTCCCCCAAGAAGTAGCCACTGTGAGTAGTTAGGCACAAGTCCATGCAGACACTTTTGCTTTTTGGGGATTTTGTTTGTTTGTTTGTTTTCTTTTCTTTTTTGAGATGGAGTCTTGCTCTGTCGCCAGGCTGGAGTGCAGTGGCGTGATCTCGGCTCACTGCAGCCTCCACCTCCTGGTTTCAAGCGATTCCCCTGCCTCAGCCTCCTGAGTAGCTGGGACTACAGGCGTGTGCCATCACACCCGGCTAATTTTTGTATTTTAGTAGAGATGGGGTTTCACCATGTTGGCCAGGATGGTCTCGATCTCCTGACCTTGTGATCCTCCTGCCTAGGCCTCCCAAAGTGCTGGGATTACAGGCGAGAGCCACCTCGCACCCGGTCTTTTTTTTTTTTTTTTTTGACCGAGTCTTACTCTGTCACCCAGGCTGGAGTGCAGTGGTGCGATCTAGGCTCACTGCAACCTCGGCCTCCCGGGTTCAGATGATTCTCCTGCCTCAGCTCCTGAGTAGCTGGGATTACAGCCACCTGCCACCAAGCCCAGCTAATTTCTTTGTATTTTTAGTAGAGATGGGGTTTCACCGTGTTGACTGGGCTGGTCTTGAACTCCTAACCTCAAGTGATCCGCCCACCTAAGCCTCCCTAAGTGCTGGGATTACAGGTGTGAGCCACCACGCCCAGCCAGACACTTCTTAAGCTGAAACAAATACCTATTTCTTAAAGACTCCTGCTGTGCTGCCACTTTGCAGCCTTCTTGTTCCCCTATGGTGTTGCACCATCTTTCTAGGTCAGCATATAAAACCTACCTCATACCTTTAATGGTAGTATGCACCATGGTTTAATAATCCCTGCAATGTCTAGGCCCAGTGCCTCACACCTGTAATCCAAGAACTTTGGGAAGCAGAGACCGGAGGATCTCTTGAGGATCACAGGAGGTCAAGATTAGTCTGGGCAACAGAGTGACACCCTGCCTCTAAAAGAAAAACAATAATAATCATAATTTCTGCAATGAACATTTGGATTGTTGCCTGTATATGCTATTTTATTTATTTTTATTTTCATTTCTTTAGACACAGAGTCTTGCTCTGTCGCCCAGGCTGGGCTGGAGTGCAGTGACATGATCATAGCTCGCTGCAGCCTCAGACTCCTGGGTTCAAGCATATATGCTATTTTAAGTGAATTTCGTGAATAATTCTGGGCATGGATCTTCAAACAACAGAGTGAGTCCTACTGTAGGATAAATTGCTAGGGGTAGAATTGTGGGGTCTTAGGGTTAGCATTTTAAAATATTGATAGATGCTGAGATATGGCCCTACATAAAAAGTGTTGCACAGACTTTTGCTCTCACCAACAATGTAAGAATGCCTGTAACCTTCACCAACAGTAAACATTATCAGTCTTTTTCATCTTTGCCAATCTGATAGGCTAAGATATTTCAATGTGGTTCTAATTTGTACTTCCTTGAGTATTAGTCAAGATAAGCATCTTTTCATGTATTTATTACTTGTGTGTTCTTTGGGGTTGAATTTTAATCAGCTTGGCTCCAGTCTTACCTGCTACAAGCATATACTGTTCTACTCACTGGAGCCATCCCTGCACTAGTGTCCTTACCAAGACAGCTTCTTTCTGTCAGTGTGCCTTCTATCTTGCTGAAGCCAGAATTTACTAACTCAAGACCAGCAGACCACACTACCCATATCATAACCTCAGAAGCAGAGACCACAAGGGCTGGATAGGGAGAAAGGAAATTCTCAAAAGAAAAACCAGAGAAGAGAGCCCCAAATTCTACATCTAAATTCTACCCAAATCTCTGGATGACCCTTGAACTATACATCTGCCAGCTAACTCCAAGGAGCCCAGCTAAGGTTAAATAACCTGAACAGAAGTTTCAGCTGTTCACCTCAGGACACAGAGTTTTCTGCCTGCTAAAATAACAAACAAACAAAAACAAAATTAAAAAAAATTTTTAAACACCCTCCAGAGAAATATAACAGAACACACAGTCTCAACAATGTATACCATTCACAATTTCTAAGATAAAAACAAATTTATCAAACACATGAAGAAAGAGTACTATGTCACCCATGCTTAAGAGAAAAGATAATCAATGAAGATTGACTTCCAGGAATAAGTTGTTGGAAATAGCAAAGGTTTTAAAGCAGATACTCTTACTATGCTCAAATATATAAAGGAAAATATGCTCCCAATGAATACATAGGAAATCTCAGAGGAGAAATAGAAACTATACAAAAGAACCAAGGCCAGGTGTGGTTCTATACAAAAGAATCAAGGCCGAGGCAGATGGATCCCTTGAGGTCAGGAGTTTGAGACCAGCCTGACCAACATGGTGAAACCCTGTCTCTACTAAAAATACACAGATTAGCTGGGCATGGTGGTGCACATTTGTAATCCCAGCTACCTGGGAGGCTGAGGCAGGAGAATCACTTGAACCCGGGAGGCAGAGGTTGCAGCGAGCCAAGATCATGCCACTGCACTCCAACCTGCTGACACAGAAAGACTCTGTCTCAAAAAAAAAAAAAAAAAAAAGAAAGAAAGAAAGAAAAAAGAAAGAAAAGAAAATATATAAGCAAAAAGTGCATCTTAAATAAAAGGAATAGGCCAGGCATGATGGCTCATGCCTGTAATAACACCACTTTGGGAGGCTGAGGTGGGTGGATTGTTTGAGCCCAGGAGTTCAAGACCACCCTGGGCAACATGGTGAAATCCCGTTTCTACAAAAAAAAAAATACAAAAATTAGCTGGGCATCGTGGTATGCACCTGTAGTCCCAGTAGGAGGCTGAGGTAGGAGGATTACCTGAGCCCGGGGAGATTGAGGCCGCAGTAAGCCATGATCAGGCTACTGCACTCCAACCTGGGCAACAGAGTGAGACCCTGTCTCAAATATGGAATAAATTATAACAATGCATACAAGAAGAAGGAACATTAACCTCTCTGAGCCTCAGTTTCCTTATCTGCAAGATGGATACAGAGAGGACTTGTTATATGTTAAACTACATAAATTGTCACAGCCCTATGAGGTAGAACAGAGGTCAGCAAATGACACGGGCCAAATCCAGCCTAATTTTTAAAACCTGTGAGCTAAGAATGGTTTATACATTTGTATGGATCCAGCATGCTTACACTGGTTTATACTTTTTTTTTTTTTGAGACAGGCTGGAATGCAGTGATGCAATCATAGCTCACTGCAGCCTCAAACACCTGGGCTCAAGCGATCCTCCTGCCTCAGCCTCCTGAATAGCTGGGACTACAGGTGTCCACCACCACACCTGGCTAATTTTTTGCTTTTATTTTAGAGAATGGGTCTTACTGTGTTGCCCAGGCTGGTCTTGAACTCCTAGCCTCAAGTGATCCTCCTGCCTTGGCCTCCCAAAGTGCTGGAATTACAGGCATGAGCCACCATGCTTGGCCATCTTAACCATTTTTAAGTGTACAGTTCAGTGATATTAACATATTAAGTACTATTATATTGTTGTGCAACCATCACCACCACCCATCTCCACAATCCTTTTCATCTTGCAAAACTGGAACTTTGTACCCTTAACCAACAACTCTCCATTCCCTCCTCCCCTCAACTTGACAACCACCTGTTAACCACCATTCTACTTTCTGTCTATGCTAGGTACCTCATATAAGTGGACTTATATAGTATTAATTTTTTTTCCAAAGTTTTTTTTTTTTTTTTTTTTTGAGACAGAGTCTCTCTCTGTCGCCCAAGCTGGAGTACAGTGGCACGATCATGGCTTACTGCAACCTCCACCTCCCAGGTCCAAGTGATTCTTGTGCCTCAGCCTCCCGAGTGGCTGGGATTACAGGCGTTCGCCACCACACCTGGCTAATTTTTGTGTTTTTAGTAGAAACAGGGTTTCATCATGTTGGCCAGGCTGGTCTTGAACTCCTGGACTCAAGAGACCTGCCCGCCTCAGTCCCCCAAAGTGCTGGGATTCCAGGTGTGAGCCACCGCACTCGGCCTATACAGTATTAATCTTTCTGTGATTGGATTATTTATATATGGCCACTCCTGATCTCTTCTGGTTACTATCTGCATGACATGTCTTTCCCTATCCTTTTACTTTCATCCTATTTGTGTCTTTAGATCTAAAGTGAGACTCTTGTAGACAGTGTATACTTGGATCATTTTTAAATGTTATTTCTGTATTTATTTTTTGAGACAGGTCTTGCTCTGTTGCTCAGGCTGGAATGCAGTGGTGCAATCACAGCTCACTGACATCCTGGGCTCAAGTGATCCTCCCACCTCAACCTTCTAAGTAGCTGGGACCATAAGTGGGCACCACCACACCTGGCTATTTTTTCTTTTTGTATGTTTTGTAGGGACAGGGTTTTGCCACATTGCCCAGGCTTGGATCATTTCTTTAAGTGGTACATTGACAAATTATAATTGTATATGTTTATGGAGTACAATGTTATATTAGAATTTAGGAATATAAGGTGAAGTGCTTAAATCAAAGTAGTTAACATATCCATCACCTCATATACTTTTTCTTTGTTGTGAGAACATTTACTCTTAGCAATTTTGAAATGTGCAATAAATTACATTTATGGCTGGGCAGGAAGCTCACGCCTGTAATCCCAACACTTTGGGAGACCAAGGTGGGAGGACTACTTGAGGTGAGAAGTTCAAGGCCAGCCTGGTCAACACAGCAAAACCCCATCTCTTACAAAGTTAAAAATTAAAAAACAGTCAGGTGCGGTGCCTATAGTCCTAGTTAGTCAAGAGGCTGAGGTGGGAGGATCACTTGAGCTCATGAGTTCAACGTTACAGTAAGCTGTAATTGTGTCATTGTACTCCATCCTAAGCAAAATAATGAGACCTTGTTGCAAAAAAGGCAAAAAAAAAAAAGCAACCAAAACCCTACATTCACCATGCGACCATGCTGTGCAATAAATTTCAAGTAAAACACTTTATTCCTCCCATCTGAAACTATACTCTTTGACCAATATCTTCCCCATTCCACCACCCACCTGGATCATGTTTTTTTAATCCATTCTGCCAATCTCTATCTTTCGATTGGAGAGTTTATCCACTTACATTCAAAATAATTACTGATAAGGAGAGACTCACTTATGTGATTTTGCCATGTGTTTTCTATATGCCCTATGGCTTTTTTTTGTGGTCCCTTATATCCTGCATTACTGTCTTCTTTTGTGTTTAGTTGATTTTTTTTTACAGTGAAACATCTAAATTCTCTTCTCATTTCATTTTGTGGATATTCTATAGCTAAGCTATTTTCTTTGTGGCTACCATGGGATTACATTTAACCTCCTAATATTAAGACACTCCAATTTGAATTTCTATCACTTAACTTCAATAACATACAAAAACCAGGCCAGGAACAGTGGCTCATGCCTGTGAGAACTTTGGGAGCCTGAGGCAAGATGATCACTTGAGCCCAGGAGTTTTTCGACCAGCCTGGGCAATATGGTGAAACCCCGTCTCTACTAAAAAATACAAATATTATCCAGGTGTGGTGGCATTCACCTCTAATCCCAGCTACTCAGGAGGCTGAGGCATGAGAATCTTTTAAACCAGGGAGGTAGAGTTTGCAGTGAGCCAAGATTGCGCCATGGCACTCCAGTCTGGGTGACGGAGTGAGACTCCATCACAAAAAAAAAAAAAAAAAAACAATCAGCCAGGCATGATGATGCACGCCCGTAGTCCCAGCTATTCGGGAGGCTGAGGTGGGAGTATCAGCTAAGCCCGAGAGGTTCAGGTTGCGATGAGCCGTTATTGCATCACTGTACTCCAGCCTGGGTGACGGAGTGAGACCCTGTCTCCGAAAAAAAAAAAAAAAAAAACAACTATGCCCCTGTACAGTTCCATCCCCACTCCTTTTCAGTTACTGATGTTACAAAATTACATATTTATACATTGTATGTCCAGAAATATAAACTAATAATTTTAAATTCATTAATCTCTTACATTATGTAGAAGACAAAATGTGAAGTTACAAATCACTTACAGTAATACTAGCTTTTACACTAATACTCATTATCATGTATTAGGCTCTTAAATCAAGTAAAATAACAAAAAATAGAATTACAACCCAAAGTTAATAGTAGCTTTTATAACTGCTCTTGTATTTACCTTTACTAAGATCTTTATTTCTGGCCAGGTGAGGTGGTTCACGCCTGTAATCCCAGCACTTCGGGAGGCCGAGGTGGGAGGATCACCTGAGGTCAGGAGTTCAAGACCAGCCTGGCCAACATGGCGAAACACCGTCTCCACTAAAAATCAAAAAATTAGCTGGGTGCAGTGGCGCTACTAGAGAGGCTGAGACAGGAGAATTGCTTGAACCCGGGAGGTGGAAGTTGTGGTAAGCCGAAATCGCACCATTGCACTCCAGTCTGGGCAACAGAGCAAGACTCTGTCTCAAAAAAAAATTTATTTCCTCTTATGGCTTCAAATTACTGCCTAGTGTCCCTTCATTTCAACCTGAAGGACTCCTTTTGGCATTTTTTGCAGGGCAGACCTAGTCGTAATGAAATCTCTCAGCTTTTGTTTCTGTGGGCATGTCTTAATTTCTCCCTCACCTTTTAAGTACAGGAGTCTTGGTTGACAGCTATTTTCTTCCACTGCTTTAAATATATGAGCCCACTACCTTCTGTTCCCCAAAATTTATGATTAGAAATCTGCTGATAGCCAGGTGCAGTGGCTCACACCTGTAATCCCAGAAATTTGGGAGGCCAAGGCAGGTGGATCATGTGAGGTCAGGAGTTCGAGACCAGCATGGCCAACAAGGTGAAACCCGTCTCTACTAAAAATACAAAAAAAAAAAATTAGCCTGGCGTGGTGGTGTGCACCTATAATCTCAGCTACTCAGGAGGCTGGGGCAGGAGAATTGCTTAAACCCAGGAGGTTGAGGTTGCAGTGAGCCCAGATCGCACCACTGCACGCCAGCCTGGGTGACAGAGCTAGACTCAATATCAAAACAAACAAACAAAACCTAAAACTCCATCTCTACAAAATAAAAAAATGAAAAAATAATAATTAGCCATTTGTGGTGGCAAGTCCACTTTCACTGAACACTCTGTAACCCATGCCTTGGAAACAATAATCTCAACTCTTCACATTCCACTGGTTGTGGACACAATTTTGGATTCAACATCAGAGGCACCATATCCCAAGTTACGGGTGAGTTCTCCTTCCCATTAGGTTTGAGTTGACCACTCAAACAAGGGCACACCTGGCCTGGTCATCCAGGCAAGGGCAAGTCATTCCTACTCGCCCTTGGGTTGCAGTCTTAAAAAGTGACCCCATTTTAACCCACAAACTCCCAAAAAGAAGTGTATACTTTTTTTTTGCATTCAGAGGTCCCACATGTTGAGGTCTTTTTGGCTTTATCCCCAAATCCCCAAATAAAAATTATCATACATGCTTCCAAGGAACTTCCTCTCCCCCTGATTCTGATGTCTTAGACGATCCTTCCTTTTGCATACCACACTCTCCTCAGCCTGCTCCTGCTTCACCTACAACCTCTCCATCTGCTCCATCCCCTAATCAACCCTTCCCATAACCAGATACTTTATCCCCCTCACATACTCACTCGGGAGTCACATATGCAACTCTAAGATTCCTCCAAAAATCCCAAAAATGTTTTGCCTGTCCACAAGATGGCAAATAGAGATTTGGGAACAATTTGAGTTCATGTCCCTTTTCCAATGTCTGATCTTTCACAAATTCAACCCACATTGGATTCATTTTGCCAGGATCCCTCTAAGTTCACTCAAGAACTCCTTTGATTTAACCTGACAAGACATATTCGTGCCATTCCCACAAAGAAAAATCACACATATGGTCTTTAGCTCAAGCGTAGACAAATAAAGTTCATGCTCATAATCCTAATGATAAAAGGGTTGAGGCAGAAGCTGTCCTCAACAGAGAACCCAATTGGCAATAACAAACGTTATCTCATCTGCCGATGAGATTATATAATAACGTGCTTGATGGAAGGAATGAAAAAGGCTGTGATAAAACCTGTTAATTTTTCTAAGTTACAAGAAATCACTCAGGAACCATCTGAGAACTCCACCCTTTTCCAAGCTGGACTGGTGGAGGCAATGCATAAATATACAAATTCACACCCTGAAAGCCCTAAGGGCCAATCCATTCTGGCTGTACAGCTTATACGTCAGGCTTCCCCAGACATCAGACAAAAACTCCAAAAATTAGAGCAAGGCACTCACATTCCCTTCCCTACTTTACTAAATACAGCCTTTAAGGTTTTCAATGACTGGGAGGCAACCTCAAAAATAAAAAAAGGCTCAATTGGAGGAGGAAAAATGCCATTGCCAAGCGAATTACATGGCAATGGCATTGATACATTATTTTTCGTTAGCTAATAAACCCAAGACTCATCCCTATAATACTAACAGAATGGGGGCCTATCATCGCTGCAGGAATCCAGGACACTAGAGTAGAGAATATCCCAAACCTCCAAATTACAAGCTACCCCCAGGACCCTGTCCTCATTGCAAACAAGAGGATCATTAGAAGAGTAAGTGTCCCTCTCTCTCTCAGGAGAGGGCCACCTCTTCCTTCTAGGCTGTTACAGCCACAACCTCACCAACCTATCTGACAGGGGTGTCATGCAGGACAAGGATGAGGGCAAGGGCAAGGACAAGCACCTCTAACTCTATTCCTGGATTATGATCAAGCCTCTGAAAGTCATCCTCTAGATGATTGATGGGACATTGAGGCCTTCCAGGCTCCTATCTTTTCCATCTGTATGGATGAGCCTCAGGCAAATCTGATTGAGACTGAACCAGAGGTAACGTTCATTATAGATATGGGGGCCAGTTATTCAGCTTTAAATGTTTATTAAGGCCCAATGTGCTAGTCCTTCATTTTCCTCACGGGTATTGCATTAGTCCATTTTCACACTGCTATAAAGAACTACCTGAGGCTGGGTAATTTATAAAGAAAAGAGGTTTAATTGATGCACAGTTCCACACGGCTGGGGAGGCCTCAGGAAACTTACAATCATGATGGAAGGTGAAGGGGAAACCAGGCACATCTTACATGGTGGCAGGAGAAAGAGCAAATCAGGAAGTGCCACACTTTTAAACTATTAGATCTCAGGAGAACTCACTATCACAAGAACAACATGGAGGAAATCTGCCCCCATGATCCAATCACCTCCCACCAGATCCCTCCCTGACACATGGGGATTACAATTTGACATGAGATTTGGGTGGGGACAGAGGCAAATAATATCATTCTTCCCTGGCCTCTTCCAAATTTCATGTCCTTCTCACATTTCAAATCTAATCATGCCTTCCCAATAGTCCCCTAAAGTCTTAATTCATTTCAGCATTAACTCAAAAATCCACAGTACAAAGTCTCATCTGAGACAAAGTAAGTCCCTTTTACCTATGAGCCTCTAAAATAAAAAACAAGTTTGTTACTTCAAGATACAATGGGAGTACAGGCATTGGGTATATGTTCCCATTCCAAATGGGAGAAATTGGCCAAAACAACGGGGCTACAGGCCCCATGTAAGTCTGAAACCCAGCAGGGCAATGATTAAATCTTAAAGCTTCACAATGATCTCTTGTGACTCCATGTCTCACATCCAGGCCACACTGATGCAAGGGATGGGCTCCCAAGGCCTTGGGCAGCTCTGCCTCTGAGGTTCTGCAAGGTACAGCCCCCACAGCTGCTTTCATGGGCTGGTGTTGACTGCTTGCAGCTTTTCCAGGTGCATGGTGCAAGCCATCAGTAGATCTACCATTCTGAGGTCTGGATAATGGTGGCCCTCTTTTCACAGCTCCACCAGGCAGTGCACCACTGGGGACTCTGTGTGGGGATTCCAATCCCACATTTCCCCTCTGCACTGCTCTAGTAGAGGTTCTCACACTGCTCTAGTAGAGGTTCTCCATGAGGGCTCTGCCTGTTGGGAGAAGCTGAGGGTTGGGAGAGAAGCTGAGGCAGGGCTTGCATGTCTGACATAATGTAACAGAGTCTTGGAACATTTCCAGGGTCCAAGGTCTAAAACCCCTCGTGGCCTTTGGAACACCAAGCTCTGTGGTAAAGGGTAGAAGGCTACCCTGATGCACCATAATCTAAGCCCAGGGCATAAAACCCCTCGTGGCTTGGATAGAATCCAGGGCTCAGGGCACAAAACCCCCCAGGGGCCTCTGGAATGTGCCTAGACTTGCTGGCTCCTTGCTCCTTGCTCTCCCAGGATTGATTGTATCTTGAGTTAAAAGAACCTGCTCTCCATTATCTCAAGTAGCAGAGCATATGCTAAACCATCACAGCTGTAAATCTTGTGCTTAATGCAATGCGCCCTTTCAACCCCACATTCTCACCACCTGTTTCTTTGATCACCAATAAATAGTCTGGGCTTCCAGAGCTCGGGGCCTTCACAGCCTCCATACTTAGCGATGGCCCCCTGAACTCACTTTCTTTCTCAAACTGTCTTTTCTCATTCCTTTGACTCCACCAGACTTCATCGCTCCCATGACCTGGTGTTGGGTCCGATCACCCCAACATTCCTGGCTGCCCAACGTGAGGCAACAAAGATCCCGGTGAAGGAACACTAGAGCGTGTGAAAGCGGAGGATGCATTGTCAAAGGACACCCGAGGATAACTGAAAGAAGCTCGGTGGGAAAGCTTAGCACTCGGAAGAACCAGGTTAACAATGATGGGACAAAGTGAAAGCAAACATTCTGCTTACTTGAATTTCTTAAGGCACTTATTACGAAGAGGGTGAGGCATGGGGTAAGACCAGGGGAATCTGAGGCTTGTTTATTCAGAGGGCCCCATTTAGAGAAACAGAAGACAAAGTGAGGACTTAGAAGGAGCCTGGGCAAGTAAAGTCATCTTGAAGCTTCAGTTTCATGGTTAACCTTCCTCTGCTAGAGAAAAACAGATTTAATGAGCGCAGAGGCATGATATGGGCTGAATGTAAAGAAATTTGGACTCAAGGCCCCAAGGAATATTTGTTTGAGTTGTGGAACATGCTTGATTTTGGTATGTTAGCAATTTTATCAGCATCATTCATTGCAAGATTCAGGGCATTCTGGCATGCTTCCAAAGCCCAGAGCATCACTGATGCAAGTGATACTTTGAAGGACTTGACAAAAGTAACATTGGGAGATAATGTGAAATACTACAGTTTGGCCAGGAGGGAGTGGGACCCCTCGGATCCTCGTATGGTGTCTGAAGGTCTTTGTGCAGTTGCTGTGGTTTTGAGTTTCTCTGGGATAGCTTGTATTTTGCCAGCAAATGAAAGCTTTGGACCTCTGCAGACGTCGCTTGGAGGAGCAGTCAAAGACATCTTCAGGTTCATGCTCATATTCATTATGGTGTTTGTGGCCTTTATGATTGGAATGTTCAACCTCTACTCCTACTACATTGATGTAAAACAAAATGAAGCCTTCACAACAGTTGAAGAGAGTTTTAAGACACTGTTCTGGGCTACATTTGTGCTTTCTGCAGTGAAATCAGTGGTCATCAACTATAGCCACAAATTCATTGAAAACATTGGTTATGTTCTTTATGGAGTCTATGATGTTACAATGGTCATTGTTTTGCTAAATATGTTAATTGCAATGATCAACAGTTCACTCCAGGAAATTGAGGATGACGCTGATGTGGAGTGGAAATTTGCAAGGGCCAAACTCTGGTTTTCCTGCTTTGGGGAGGGGGAGAGCACTTCCTGTTCCTTTCAATCTGGTGCCGGGTCCAGAGTCCCTGTTTTATCTCTTGCTGAAGCTTAAAGGGTGGATTTCTGAGCTCTATCCAGGGTCATAAAAAAGGTTTCCAGGAAGAGATAGAGCTAAGTAAGTAGAGCTAAGTAAGTAGAGCTAAGTAAGTACAGCTAAGTAGGGAAAGACAGGAACTTGCAGGAACTAACAGGTACCATAGGGACAGACAGGGACAGATAGAGATAGATGAAGGCTAGCAATATAAGGTCAGTGCCCTAAAGAGGTACTGATCAGTGCCCTAAAGAGGTACAAAAGTAAAGACTAGTAATATAAGGTCAGTGCCCTAAAGAGGTACTGGTCTGTGCCCTAAAGAGGTACAAAAGCAAAGACTAGCAATATAAGGTCAGTGCCCTAAAGAGGTACTGGTCAGTGCCTTAAAGAGGTACAAAAGTAGAGAGTAGTGAAGACTAGCAGAGATTTGCAGGGACAGACAGGAACATTCTGAATTATGGAAATTAGCTATGGCTCAAAGTCCAATCAAAATCTGAGAGGGCAAATATAAAAGGAATAGAGAGGAGGAGGCAAGGAAGGATAAAAATGCTCTTTCTTTTCTCTCCGACAGGACCTTTTGGATTCAAGGTTGTGCTAGCAATAGGAAATGTTACTCTTGATATAAATACACGTTTTATTACATGCTCTGAATGTTGCTTGTTTACCTGCATTAATTCAACCTTTGATAAAAATCAAATTATCTTGATAATTAAAGCCAGGGAAGGAGTTTGGTTCCCTGTGTCACTAAATAGACCATGGGAGACATCACCCTCTATTTATATTGTAACTGAGATCCTTAAAAACTCTTATCCCATTCCAAAAGATTTACAGTTGAAGGCCATTGGAGGCTCTACATTTGTGGATTTTGTTCTGGTGGTTGTGTGCTTGTGCTGTCTCCTTTTAGTCTGCAGATGTGGAAGCTGCCTCTGAAGAGGAAGCCACCTCTGAAGAGAAAGCTGCCACCAAGAACAAGCAATGAGAGCTGTGGCGGTTTTACAAAAAAGAAAAGGGGGGCATGTTGGGAGAAGCTGAGTGTTGGGAGAAACAGAGGCAGGGCTTGCAAGTCTGAAATGATGTAAAAGAGTCTTGGAACATGTCCAAGGTCCAGGGTCTAAAACCCCTCATGGCCTTTGGAACACCAAGCTCTGTGCTAAAAGGTGGAAGGCTACCCTGATGCACCATAATCTAAGCCCAGGGCATAAAACCCCTCATGGCTTGGATAGAATCCAGGGCTCAGAGCACAAAACCCCTCATGGCTTGGATAGAATCCAGGGCTCAGAGCATAAAACCCCTCATGGTCTCTGAAATGTGTCTAGACTTGCTGGCTCCTTGCTCCTTGCTCTCCCAGGATTGATTGTATCTTGAGTTAAAAGAACCTGCTCTCCATTATCTCAAGTAGCAGAGCATATTCTAAACCATTACAGCTGTAAATCTTGTGCTTAATGCAATGCGCCCTTTCAACCCCACATTCTCACCACCTGTTTCTTTGATCACCAATAAATAGTCTGGGCTTCCAGAGCTCAGGGCCTTCACAGCCTCCATACTCACATTGGCCCCCTGGACCCAGTTTCTCTCTCTAACTGTCTTTTCTCATTCCTTTGACTCCACCAGACTTCGTCACCCCCATGACCTGGTGTTGGGTCTGATCACCCCAACATCTGCCCCTGCAGCAGATTTATGCCTGGACGTCCAGGTGTTTCCATATATCCTCTGAAATCTAGGTGGAGGCTTCCAAGCCTTAACTCTTGCCTTCTGCATACCTGCATGCCCAATACCATGTGGAAGCCACCAAGACTTGGGGCTTTCACCTCTGAAGCAATGGCCTAAGCTGTACCTTGGTCCGTTTTAGCCACAGCTGAAGCTGGAGCAGCTGGGATGCAGGGTACCATGCCTCAAAGCTGCACAGACCAGCAGGGCCCTAGGCCCAACCCATGGAACCATTTTTTCTTCCTCGGCCTCTGGGCCTGTGATGGGATGGGCTGCCACAAATATCTCTGAAATGTCCTGAAGACTTTTTTCCCATTGTGTTGGCTATTGGCATTTGGCTCCTTGTTACTTATGCAAATTTCCACAGCCAGCTTGAATTTCTCCCCAGAAAATGGCTTTTTATTTATTTATTTATTTTTAGATGGAGTCGTGCTCTGTCACCCAGGCTGGAGTGCAGTGGCACAATCTCAGCTCACTGCAACCTCTGCCTCCCAGGTTCAAGCAGTTCTCCTGCCTTAGCTTCCCGAGTAGCTGGGATTACAGGCGTGTACCACATGCCCAGCTAATTTTTGTATTTTTAGTAGAAACAGGGTTTCACAATGTTGGTCAGGCTGGTCTTGAACTCCTGACCTCAAATGATCCACCTGCCTCGGCCTCCCAAAGTGCTGGGATTACAGGTGTGAGCCACCATGCCTGGCTGGCTTTTTCTTTTGTACCACATGCTCAGGCTGCAAATTTTCCAAACTTTTATGCTCTGCTTCCCTTTTAAACATAAGTTCCCATTTCAGACCATCTCTTTGTGAATGCATATGACTGTATGCCATTGGTAGCAGCCAGGCAACATCTTGAATGCTTTGCTGCTTAGAAATTTCTTCCACCAGATACCCTAAATCATGTCTCTCAAGTTGAAAGCTCCATGGATCCCTTAGAGCAGGGGCATAATGCTGCCAGTCTTCTTGCTAAAGCATAGCAAGAATGACCTTTGCTCCAGTTCTCAATAAGTTTGTCATCTCCATCTGAGACCACGTCAGCCTGAACTTCACTGTCCATATCACTATCAGCATTTTGGTCAAAACCATTCAACAAGTCTCTAAAGTTCCAAACATTCCCACATCTTACTGTACTCTTCTCAGCCCTCTAAACTGTTCCAACCTCTGCCTGTTACCCAGTCCCAAAGTCACTTCCACATTTTCTGGTATCTTTATAGCAGTGCCCCACTTTCCTGGTACCAAATTTCTGTATTAGTTCATTTTCATGCTGCTATAAGGAACTACCTGAGGCTGGGTAATTTATAAAGAAAAGAGGCTTAATTGGCTCACAGTTGTGCATGGCTGGGGAAATCTCAGGAAACTTACAATTATGGCAGAAGGCATCTTACATGGTGGCAGGAGAGAGACAGAGTGAACAGGGAAGTGCCACACTTTTAAGCCATCAGATCTCATGAGAACTTATTATCATGAGAAAAACATGGGGGAAATCCACCCCCATGATCCAATCACCTCACTAGGTCCCTCCCCTGACATGTGGGGATTACAATTGGACATGAGATTTGGGTGGGGACACAGAGACTAAACTATATCAGGTATTGATGGAAAACCCCAACGAGGCTGTTTCACACCACCAGTCTCTTGTAAAAGGGAAGGTTATGTCTTTAGCCACTCCTTTTTAGTCATGCCAAGCTCTCCTGTTCCATTATTAGGTCATGACTTACTCACAAAATTACAAGACAATTTATAGCTAAGGCCCCACTTTCTAACTGTATGAACTCACACTTCACTAAAAGAGCTGCTACAGTCTATAGAACCTCACATTCTAAAACAAGTGCCGTTTGAGGTCTGGAATACTTCTATTTCTGGCCATTCAATATCAGCTGCTCCCATCATCATTCAGCTTAAAAATCCCAGTAAGTTCCCAAGAACCGCCAATACCCCTTGAAACCAGAAGCCCAAAAAGTGTTAAAGCCCCTAATAACAAAATGTTTAACCCATGGATTATTGTGCCCTTGCAACTTGCATTGCAGCACTCCCATTTTTGCTGCAAAAAAACCAGATGGCTCCTACCAGCTAGTACAGGACCTTAGAATTATTAATGAAGCTGTTATTCCTATTCATCCTATTGTCACAAACCCTTAGTCTCTTTTGGACAAATTTCCTCCACTGCAGCTTGGTTTACTGTACTTGATCTTAAGGATGCCTTTTTCTGCATTCCGTACACAAGATAGCCAATTTTTGTTTGCTTTTGAATAGCAAGACCTAGATACTCAAATAACTTAATAGTTAACTTGCACTATTCTGTCCTAGGAATTCAGAGATAGCCTCCACTGTTTTGGACAGGACTTAGCTAAAGACCTGTCCACCCTGCAGCTTCTCCCAGATAGCAATCTACTCCAGTATGTGGGTGACCTGCTAATCTGTAGTCCTAACAAGGCTGTTTTAGAGCAAAATACAGTACGAGTACTGAATAAAATTGCTGATTGTGGATATGAAGTATCTCCTTCTAAGGAACAAATATGCACATAAAGGGTTCAATTTGGGGGTATTTTAACCCCTGGTACAGAGAGCCTCTCTAGCACTTGTAAAGATCTTATTTTACACATGACAACTCCAGTAAATAAATAACAGCTTGAGTCCTTTTTGGGTAGGGCCAAGTTTTGCAGAATATGGATTCTTTCTTTCAGATTAATTGTAAAACCTTTATATGAAGCCCTTAGGGGTTCTTATAACCCTAACCCTAACCCTAACTCTAATACCTAACCAAATCCCAACCCTAAACCCTGTAAACCCAGAAAATCTGAGACAGGTCTCAGTTAATTTAGAAATTTTATTTTGCCAAGGTAGAGGATGCAGGCCCCTGACACAGCCTCAGAAAGTCCTGATGACATGTGCTGAAGGTGGTCAGGGCACAGCTTGGTTTTATACATTTTAGGGAGACAAGAGACATCATTCAATATATGTAGGAAGTACAGTGGTTCCGTCTGGAAAGGCAGGGACAACTTGAAGCAGGGAGGGGCTTCTAGGTCACAGGTAGGTGAGAGAAAAATGGTTGCATTCTGTTGAGTTTCTGATAAGCCTTTCCAAAGGAGACAATCAGAATATTCATCTACCTCAGTTAGCAGAGGGATGACTTTGAAAAGAATGGGAGGCAGGTTTGTCCTGAGCAGTTCCGAGCTTGACTTATCCCTTAGCTTAGTAATTTTGGGGCCCAAGATATTTTCCTTTCACAACCCTGACCCCTAACTTTAACCCTAACCCTAACCCTAACCATAATCTCTAATTCTAACCCTCACCCTAAGCCTAATCTTTGCTCTGACATTCTAACTCCTTAACCCTAATCCCCAACGTCTATCCTACACTTAACCTTAGCCCATAATCCTTCAAAAATTCTGGGTTTTTTTTTTTTTTTTGGTATAACCTCTAACCCTCTAACTGCTAACCACTAATACCCTAAATAGTACACCAAGCCATACCTTTTTCTAACCCCAATCGAGTACTGACTCAAACATATGATATCACCAGGACAAAAAAACTAAATGTTAATAAAACTCATAATGATAGACTTAATAATGTTTAACCAAATCATAGTAAGTGGAATTTGGTACATAGCGAAAACATTATACACCACAATGAAGAGGTCTTTTTTTTTTTTTTTTTTTTTTTTTCAGAAAATCAAAGGTTTTTCAACATACTAAAGCCATTCCTTTTCCGTATACTATATAATTAAAATGATGGGAAAAACACGTTTATCTCAACTGTTACAGAAAGTACTTAAAGATAATCAACGTATTTAATGATAAAAACCACCAATAAGCTGAAGATTCGAATTTTCTTCACATGATAAAACACCTTTATGCAAAACCCATAACAATCACCACCTGAATTGTTGGCACCCAAAGCTTTAAGATCAGGAACACAGCACTGATGCTCACTTTCATCATTGTGTTCAACACTGTACTAGAAGTTCCATCCAGAACA
This sequence comes from Homo sapiens, assembly GCF_000001405.40. Taxonomy (NCBI): domain Eukaryota; kingdom Metazoa; phylum Chordata; class Mammalia; order Primates; family Hominidae; genus Homo; species Homo sapiens. Next base: position 57,166,279 of record NC_000024.10, on the reverse strand, counting down.
ATTAGAAAAAAAAAAAAAAAATATATATATATACAAAGTCATTCATATGTGAAAGAAAAAAGTAAAACTACCTACTCACAGATCCCATGATCTCATACACAGAAAATCATAAGGAACCAACAAGAAATTGTTAAAACTAGTAAAGAAATTAAGCAAAGTTACAGGACAAAATATTAATACACAAAAATATATTTCTGTATACTAGCAATAAACGATATGAAAATGAAATTAAGACAACAATTTCATTTCTGAAAACTAACAGGCTGGAATACCTCCAACTGCCCTGGAACACACAGGGCAGGCAGCTTGGGGTGGGGGACGGCCTTGGAATAGGGGCTGTGGTGCTACATGGGGACTTGGCTGCAGTGGCTGCAGGGCTGACAAGAAACAACTGAAGTTCCTAGAGAATCAAAGTAGAATTCCTTAAGAACATAATGGATGAAGAGGAGAAAACGTACATTGGCTGTGAAAGCCCTGATGCCAAGATGTCAAATGAATATCTTCTGAATCATAAATATGTTGTAAAAAGAGAACACGCCCAAACATCAGGAAGAAGGAAACCCATGTTGAGTGGCCCAGGTCATTTTGCTGAGAATGAAACCAATTAGGTCAATTTGAGAGAGATCTCTTCACAAGTGCTGCCAAAAGCAGGCACGTATTTTACCTAAAAGTTTCGCTATACCTACAGCTCCACAGAGATTCTTAAATTCCCATTTCACCTGAAATGACACTAGAACTGCTGAGGCTGTGAACTTCCTAGATTGTTAATAAAATAAATTGTAATAAACTGTTAGTTCTTTCAGTGTTTAAGACCTGTACTTGAGTTACTATTTTGTTTCATATATAGCATGTTCCTTGTATGCAATGGAGCTACAAAATTCATTGCAAAGAAGATTGTCTTCTGTTTTTTGCATGGCAGAGTTGAAATCTGTTTGCAACATCAACAAATTAAGGACATTTTCACAAACTGAGAGATAAACAAATATGTCAATTCATAGGTGGTTTTGCCTTATCCTTTGGATATGACTTTTAAAATCAGAGCAATGATGACATAATGCTGCTGAAAATTAGTCATAAATGAACGTGTTCTACAAGTAAATAATGGGGATAAGTGTTTTTATGTATTTAGTATTTTCTTTAGAAAACTATTTCGATCTTATAGCTGTCCATAGCATTACTAGAGTTATGCAAATAATTGCATTATAAACATATTCATAACTTAGCCAAAAAATTGATTTGTATAACATTCCAGAAATAAGTGTTGAGGCTGGGTGTGGTGGCTCATGCCTGTAATCCCAGCACTTTGGGAGGCCAAGGCAGGTGGATTTCTTGAGCCCAGGAGTTTGAGACCAGCCCGGACAACATAGCAAATCCTCGTTTCTACAAAAAATACAAAAAAATTAGCCGGGTATGGTGGCTGAGGCTAAGACAGGAGGATTGATTGAGCCCAGGAATTAGAGGCTGCAGTCAGCCGTGATGGCACCACTGCACTCAAGCCTGAGCAACAGAGTGAGACCCTGTCTTAAAAAAATTAAAAGAGGGGGGGGAAAGAAGAGTTGGAAATTTCTTATGTCCTTTGGATAAGCTTTCAGTTATTTTTTAAATGTGTCCTGTCATTTTTATTGCTACAATTTAAGAAGTTTATTTAAAAGCAATTCTGGAGGTTATTAGGTACAACTTGAAGAGGTAACTAACTGGTAGCCAGATGGTCAGCGAGTCACTATTACACTTTAGAGTTTTTATGCATTATGCCTCTTTTGGGCAATTCAAAGTACTATATTTTCATTGACTATAAAGCATCCTTTGGAATTTTCAAAACAGAAAGCAAAAAAAAAAGGTTGGGTGTGGTGGCTTATATCTTTAACCCCAGTACTTTGGGAGGCCAAGGTGGGAGGATTACTGGAGCCAAGGAGTTTGAAGCTGCAGTGAGCTATGATCACCCTACCACACCCTACCTGGGCAACAGAATAAGGCCCTGTCTCAAAAAAACAAAAAAAAATCAACAGTAATAATGTTTTAAGAATAAATTTAACAAATATTCAAGACTTAGACATGGAAAATTACAAAATATTGCTGAAATAAATTCAAGAAACCCTAAGTAAATGTAAAGACACTCCATGTTTATGGATTAGAAGACAAATATTAATAATTCATCTGCTTAAATATCTAAGCTTACTTTACTAATTGTCCATTGTATAGAGAAATATATTTGCAAATATTTCTGTAGGTTGTCAAGATATACACTAGCACTTTTGTCAGTTAACTGTACCTTTTGATTACATAAACATAAGTGTTTAAGCCTGAAATCCCTTGCAACTGCTAATTACTGGTGCATGCAGCCCCCAGTCACGTACTCCCTGCTTGCTCAATTGATCATGACCCTCTCACATGTACCCCGTTAGAGTTGTGAGCCCTTAAAAGGGACAGGAATTGCTCACTTGGGGAGCTCGGCTCTTGAGACAGAAGTCTTGCTGATGCTCCTGGCCGAATAAACTGTTTCCTTCTTTAACTCGATGTCTGAGGGGTTTTGTCTGCGGCTTGTCCTGCTACATTTCTTGGTTCCCTGACTGGGAAGTGAGGTGATTAATGGATGGTCAAGGCAGCCCCTTAGGTGGCTTAGGCCTGCCCTGTGGAGCATCCCTGCCGGGGACTCCAGCCAGCTTGAGCAACACAGATCCTGAGAGCGCTCCCGGGTAGGCAATTGCCCTGGTGGAATGCCTCGCCAGAGCAGCATGTGGCAGGCCCCCATGGAGGATCAATGCAGTGGCTGAACACTGGGAAGGAACTGGCACTTGGAGTCTAGACATCTGAAACTTGGTAACACTAGTCTTTGGAACTTGCCTACCCCATTTTAGTGGAAATGTGGCCTGATCACCCACAGCGTGCCCCCGCCAGCACTTTGGTTTTTTTGTTTTTGACTTGACTTGGATTGCTTGATACTTTGGTTTTGGTTTTGACCTGGCTTGGATTTCTTGATACTCTGATTTTGGTTTTGATTCTGGTTTGGTGTAAACTGTAAAAGTGTGTGTGTGCCCTTTTTACCTGTTCTTTGTTTTGTGGTGTGCGTGTAGTGTGAGCGTGGTGTTTTGTCTTGAGAAAACATGGATCAGGCACAAAGTAAGCCCACCCCACTAGGAACTATGTTGAAAAATTTCAAAAAGGGATTTAAAGGAGACTATGGAGTCAACATGACACCAGGAAAATTTAGAGGTGGGTTGGCCATCAGAAGGAAGCCTGGACAGGTCCCTTGTCTTGAAGGTATGGCAGAGGGTAACCTGTAAGTCAGGGCACTCAGATAAGTTCCCATATATAGATTCTTGCTTACAGCTAGTTTTGGACCCCCGACAGTGGTTAAGAGGACAGGCAGCAGCAGTACTAGTAGCAAACGGGCAGTTAGTTAAGGAAGGTTCACGCTCCACCTGCTGAGGGAAGTCAGCACCAGAAGTCCTGTCCGACCCAACACTAGAAGAATCATGGCAGGAATTGGTACCAGCAGTACCCCCTCCTTATCGAGAGGAAGGGCTCCCCACCCCTGAGCCCACAGCACCTACACCTCCACCAGATAACCACACCCCTAGACCACCCAGAGTAGACAAAAGAGGAAATGAAGCCGCGGGAGAAACTCCTCCCATGGCAGCTCGCTTACAGCCCAAGACTGGAATCCAAATGCCCCTGAGAGAGCAGCGATATACTGGGATAGATGAGGAGGGACACATGGTGGAAAGGCGTGCCTTTGTGTATCAACCTTTCACCCCTGCTGACCTCCTCAATTGGAAAAATAATACTCCATCTTATACCGAAAAGCCTCAAGCTTTAATTGACTTGCTCCAAACTATTATACAGACTCATAATCCTACTTGGGCTGATTGCCACCAGCTGCTCATGTACCTCTTTAATACAGATTAAAGGCGAAGGGTACTCCAGGCGGCAACTAAGTGGCTAGAGGAGCACATCCCAGCCGATTACCAAAACCCCCAAGAATATATAAGAATTCAGCTGCCAGGAACAGACCCCTAATGGGACCCGAATGAGGGACCAGACATGGAGAGGCTAAGACGGTACCATGAGGCATTAATAGAAGGTCTAAAGAAAGGGGCTCAAAAGGCTACAAATGTAAATAAGGTCTCTAAGGTCAACCGAGGAAAAGAGGAAAGTGCAGTGCAATTCTATGAAAGACTGTGTGAGGCTTACCATATGTACATTCGTTTTGATCCAGATAACCCTGAAAATCAGCGCATGATTAACATGGCCTTAGTCAAAGCACAGAAGATATCAGGAGAAAATTGCAGAAACAGGCTGGGTTTGTGGATATGAATACCTCACAGTTACTGGAAATAACCAATCAAGTGTTTGTGAATAGAGATGCAACAAGCCACAGAGAAAGCTGTAAGGAAGGCGAACGCCAGGCCAGGCAAAACGCCGACTTACTGGCCACGGCCATTAGGGGAATTCCCCTGAAAGGAGAGGGAAAGGGGGGTTCCAGGAAGAATACCCAGTCTAATGGCACACTCTTGCAACGTAACCAGTGCGCCTATTGTAAGGAAATAGGACATTGGAAAGATAATTGTTCCCAACTGAAGGAAAAGCAAGGTGATTCACAACAAAAGACCTCAGATAAAGATGAGGGAGCTTTGTTCAATCTGGCTGAAGGGCTACTGGATGGAAGGGGACCGGGCTCAAGCGCCCCCAAAGAGCCCATGGTCAGGATTACAACTGGGGGCAAGGACATTAAATTTTTGGTTGATACTGGTGCTGAACATTCAGTAGTGACCACCCCAGTCACCCCCTTATCCAAGAAAATCATTGATATAATCGGAGCAACAGGAGTTTCCACTAAGCACACTTTCTGTCTACCACAGACCTGCTCGGTGCGGGGACCTGAGATAGTTCACCAGTTCTTTTACATGCCTGACTGTCCCGTGCCCTTGCTGGGAAAAGGCTTGCTTAGCAAGCTGACAGCCAACATCTCCTTTACAAACAGGGCTCTTTACAGCTAAAGTTACCAGGAACAGGAGTTATCATGGCCCTTATGGTCCCCCAGGAAGAAGAATGGAGACTTTTTCTAACTGAGCCAGGCCAAGAGATAAAACCAGCTCTAGCTAAGCGATGGCCCCAAGTATGGGCAGAGGATAATCCTCCGGGACTGGTGGTCAACCAAGCCCCTGTACACATAGAAGTTAAGCCTGGGGCCCAACCAATTAGACAAAAGCAGTATCCAGTTCCCAGAGAAGCTCTCAAAGGAATCCAGGTTCATCTCAGGCGCTTGAAAGCGTTTGGAATTATAGTTCCTTGCCAGTCTCCATGGGAACACCCCCTCCTCCCTGGTCCCTAAGCCAAGGGACCAAGGACTATCGATCGTACAGGACTTGCGCTTGGTCAACCAAGCTACAGTGACTCTGCACCCAACAGTTCCTAACCCTTACACATTGTTAGGGCTGCTGCCGGCTGAGGACAGCTGGTTTACCTGTCTGGACTTAAAAGATGCCATCTTTAGCATCAAAATAGCTCCTGAGAGCCAGAAGCTGTTTGCCTTTCAGTGGGAAGATCCGGAGTCAGGTGTCACTACTCAGTACACTTGGACCTGGCTTCCCCAAGGGTTCAAGATCTCCCCTACTATCTTTGGGGAGGCCCTGGCTTAAGACCTGCAAAAGTTTCCTGCTAAAGACCTAGGCTGTGTCTTGCTCCTGTATGTGGACTACCTTCTGCTGGGACACTCCATGGCAGTTGGGTGTGCAAAAGGGACGGATGCCCTGCTTCAGCACCTGGAGGACTGTGGGTATAAGGTGTCCAAGAAGAAAGCTCAGATCTGCAGACAGCAGGTAAGCTACCTGGGATTTACTGTTCAGAAAGGGGAGTGCAGCCTGGGGTCAGAAAGAAAGCAGGTCATCTGCAGCCTACTGGAACCTAAAACCAGAAGGCAAGTAAGGGAATTCCTAGGAGCTGTGGGGTTTTGCAGATTATGGATTCCAAACTTTGCAGTACTAGCCAAACCTTTCTACAGGGTTACAAATGGGGGCGACCGGGAGCCTTTTGAATGGGGGCCTCTACAACAGCAAGCCTTTTGTAAGTTAAAGGAAAAACTTATGTCGGCCCCAGTCCTAGGACTACCAGATTTGACAAAGCCCTTTACACTCTATGTGTCAGAAAGAGAAAAAATGGCAGTTGGAGTTTTAACCCAGACTGTGGGGCCCCAGCCAAGGCCAGTGGCCTATCTCTCAAAACAACTAGATGAGGTTTCCAAAGTCTGGCCACCATGTCTAAGGGCCCTGGCAGCAACAGCCCTGTGAGCACAAGAAGCAGATAAACTAACCCTTGGGCAAAACCTGAATATAAAGGCCCTCCATGCTGTGGTAACTTTGATGAATAGCAAAGGACATCATTGGCTAACAAATGCTAGATTAACCAAGTACCAAAGCTTGCTATGTGAAAATCCCCGCATAACCATTGAAGTCCGTAACACCCTAAATCCCGCCACCCTGCTCCCAGTATCAGAGAGCCCGGTCAAGCATAACTGTGTAGAAGTGTTGGACTCAGTTTATCCTAGCAGACCTGACCTTCGGGACCAGCCATGGGCATCAGCAGACTGGGAGTTATACATGGACGGGAGCAACTTCACAATCCACATGGAGAAAGATGTGCAGGATATGCGGTGGTAACTTTGGATGCTGTCCATTGAAGCCAAACCATTGCCACAGGCACTTCAGCCCAGAAGGCTGAGCTCATTGCTTTAACTCGGGCTCTAGAACTCAGTGAAGGTAAGACTGTAAACATCTACACTGACTCTTGATATGCCTTTCTAATCCTTCAAGTGCATGGAGCATTATATAAGTAAAAGGGCCTGTTAAACTCTAGGGGAAAGGACATAAAATATCAACAAGAAGTTCTACAATTATTAGAGGCAGTGTGGAAACCTCAGAAGGTGGCAGTCATGCACTGCAGGGGACACCAGCGAGCTTCCACCTCAGTGGCCTTAGGAAACTCTCGAGCTGACTCAGAAGCTTGAAAAGCAGCATCTACCCCTTACTGGGCATCGGTAGCAACCCCCTTACTCCCTCAAACACCTGACCTGGTACCTACCTATTCTAAGGAAGAAAGACTTCTTCCACTCAGAAAGGGGGCAAGTAAAAAAAAGGAGGATGGATCAGACTGCCAGATGGGAGGGTAGCTGTGCCTCAGTTGCTGGGAGCCACAATCGTATTGGCCATGCATGAAACCACTCATCTAGCACAAGAGTCACTTGAAAAATTGTTAGGGCAGTACTTCTACGTCTCACACTTGCCAGCCCTTGCCAAAGCAGTAGCACAATGGTGCGTTACTTGCCCACAGCACATTGATAGGCAAGGCCCCACTGTTCCGCCCGGCATACAAGCTTATGGAGTGGCTCCTTTTGAGGATCTTCAGGTGGAGTTCACAGAAATGCCAAAATGTGGAGGTAACAAGTATTTGCTGGTTCTTGTGTGTACTTACTCTGGGTGGGTGGAGGCTTATCCAACACGAACTGAAAAGGCCTACGAGGTAACCCGTGTGCTTCTCTGAGATCTTATTCCTAGGTTTGGACTGCCCTTATGAATCGGCTCAGATAATGGGCCAGCATTTGTGGCTGACTTGGTACAGAAGACAGCAAAGGCATTAGGAATCACTTGGAAGCTACATGCCGCCTACTGACCTCAAAGTTCCGGAAAGGTGGAGCGAATGAATTATACTATCAAAAATAGGGAAAGTATGTCAGGAAACAGGATTAAAGTGCATACAGGCCCTTCCTATGGTATTGTTTAAAATTAGATGCACTCCTTCTAAGAAAACAGGATACTCCCCTTATGATATACTGTATCATAGGCCTCCTCCTATATTATGGGAGCTTCCAGGCACTCCCTGAGAGTTAGGTGGAATTGAATTACAGCGACAGCTACAGGCTTTAGGAAAAATTACACAAACAATCTCAACTTGGGTAAATGAGAGGTGTCCCATCAGCTTATTCGCCCCAATTCATACTTTCTCCCCAGGTGGTCTTGTGTGGATAAAGGACTGGAACGTAGCCCCTTTGCGGCCACGGTGGAAAGGACCTCAGACCATCTTCCTGACCACCTCCATGGCTGTAAAGGTAGAAGGAATCCCAGCCTGGATCCACCACAGCCGTGTGAAACCTGCAGCCACTGAAACCTGGGAGGCAAAACCGAGCCCAGACAAACCCTGCAAAGTGACTCTGAGGAGGACAACAAGCCCTGTTCCAGTCACACCCGGAAGCTGACTGGTCTACGTGGCTGAAGCATGAGGAAGATCATCATGGGACTCATTTTCCTTATAATTTGGACTTGTATAGTAAAAATTTCCACTGATTTTCTCCACATGGAGACTGCTCTCAGTGTATACATGAGGTTACCGAGGTAGGGCAGCAAGTTAAAACAATCTTTCTGTTCTATAGTTACTATGAATGCCTAGGAACTTTAAAAGGAACATGTTTATATAATGACACTCAGTACAAGGTATGTAGCCCAGAAAACGACTGACCAGATGTGTGTTATGACCCCTCTGAGCTTCCCATGTGGACAGTTTTTGAAATAAGATTAAGGACTGAAGACTGGTGGGGACTCATAAATGATACTAGTAAAGTATTAGCCAGAACAGAAGAAAAAGGGGTGCCCAAACACATAATCTTGAAATTTGATGCCTGTGCTGTCATTAATAGCAATAAGTTAGGAAGGGGATGCGGCTTTTTTAGTTAGGAAAAAGGTGATATTACTGAAAATAAGTACATTTGTCATGAATTAAGACTGTGTAGAAATGAATGTGGATGCTCGTCTTGTGTCATTTGGGCCACTTAGATAAAAAATGAAAAGGATCCAGTCCACCTTCAGAAAGGAAAAAATGGCCCTTCCTGTACTAAGGGACATTGTAACCCCTTAGAGCTAGTAATAACCAACCCCCTTGATCCTCACTGGAAAAAAGGGGAGCGTGTGACCTTAGAAATCGATGGGGCCAGACTGGATCCTTGAGTAAATATCTTAGTTCGAGGAGAAGTTTACAGACGCTCTCCTGAGCCAGTGTTTCCAACTTTCTATGATGAATTAAATGTGCCAGTACCAGAAATTCCAGGAAAAACAAGAAATTTGTTTTTGCAATTAGCCGAGCATGTAGCCCAGTCTCTCAATGTCACTTCATGTTATGTATGTGGAGGAACTGTAATGGGAGATCAATGGCCATGAGAAGCCCGAGAATTAGTAGCTACAGACGAGTTCCTGATGAATTCCTGGCTGAAAAGAATCACCCTGATAATTTCTGCGTCCTAAAAGCCTCAATTATTGGACAATATTGCATAGCTAGAGAAAGAAAAGAATTCACTCACCCCGTAGGGCTACTTAGTTGTCTAGGACAGAAACTGTATAATGGTACCACAAAAACAGTCACTTGGTGCAGTTCAAATCACACAGAAAGGAATCCATTTAGTAAATTCCCAAAGTTGCAAAATGGGTGGACTCACCTGGAGTCCCACCGGGAGTGGACAGCCCCCACTGGATTATACTGGATATGGGAGCATAGAGTTACGCCAAATTACCCGACCAGTGGGCAGGTAGTTGTGTTATTGGCACTATTAGACCATCTTTCTTCCCACTGCCCACAAAAACAGGTGAACTCCTGGGCTTCCCTGTGTATGCTTCCTGCAAAAAGAGAAGCATAGCTATAAGAAATTGGAAAGATGATGAATGGCCCCCTGAGAGAATCATACAATATTATGGGCCTGCTACTTAGGCACAAGACAGCTCATGGGGATACTGGACCCCCATTTACATGATCAACTGAATCACACGGTTACAAGCTGTCTTAGAAATAATCACTAATAAAACAGGCAGAGCCTTGACTATACTGGCCCAGCAAGAAACTCAGATGAGAAATGCTATCTATCAAAATAGATTGGCTCTCGACTACTTGCTAGCAGCTGAAGGAGGGGTGTGTGGGAAATTTAACCTTACTAATTGCTGTCTACACATAGATGATCAAGGGCAAGTAGTGGAAGACATAGTTAGAGATATGACAAAACTGGCACATGTGCCCGTGCAAGTGTGGCATGGATTTGATCCTGCAGCCATGTTTGGAAAATGGTTCCCAGCGCTAGAAGGATTTAAACCTCTTATAATAAGAGTTATAATAGTAATAGGAACCTGCTTACTGCTCCCTTGTTTGCTACCTGTACTTCTTCAAATGATACAAAGCTTCATTGCTACCTTAGTTCACCAAAATGCTTCAGCACAAGTGTACTATATGAATCACTATTGATCTGTCTTGCAAGAAGACATGGGTAAGGAGAATAAAAGTGAGAACTCCCACTGTTGAGTGAGATTCTCAAAGTGGGGGGGGAATAAGGGAGGAGACCACCCCTCATATTGTCTTATGCCCAATTTCTGTATCAAAAGAAAGAAGAAGTAAAAACTAAAAGGCAGAAATAAAATCCACAAGCAGACAGCCCGGCACCACACCCTGGACCTGGTAGTTAAAGATCGACCCCTAACCTAATTGGTTATGTTATCTATAGATTACAGACATTGTATAGAAAAGCATTGTGAAAATCCCTGTCCTGTTTTGTTCTGATCTAATTACCAGTGCATGCAGCCCCCAGTCACCTATCCCTGCTTGCTCAATTGATCACGACCCTCTCATGTGCACCCCCTTAGAGTTGTGAGCCCTTAAAAGGGACAGGAATTGCTCACTTGGGGAGCTCAGCTCTTGAGGCAAGAGTCTTGCCAATGCTCCCGACCAAATAAACCACTTCCTTCTTTAAGTCGGTGTCTGAGGGGTTTTGTCTGTGGCTTGTCATACTACAACAGAATTAGCCGGACAAAGTCTTAGAAAATTTGATAAGGTTGGGGGCGCTGGGTGCATGGGTTAAGAGAACATGCATAAAATTCCTGAGACACCCACAAGCCTGCTATGTCCCTGTAATTGAAAGCAAATTGGACTGCAGGTAATTGGGGCTGACTGAATGGGAGAGGGGAGCAGGCAGGAGCACTCATGGGCCAGTAGACCATGAAAAGCCATATGGACCTTGTTCTAAGGCCAGTGGAAACCCATTAGGAACATTAAATCAGGAGAGTGACAGGATGAGATTTATGTGTGTATTTTGCCATTATCAAGTTGAGATCACCTGTGGTGGGTGGGTGGCTCTGTGTTCCTCCTGGTGGGCTGTACTGAGGAGTGCAGTGTTTGCAACTGCTCAGGAGGAAACAGGGGGCAGAAGTGAGAGAGGAGAAAGGAAAAAACCCGGTCAGGCAGCAGTTAGGGTGGGTGCTCAGATGAATCCTTTCAAACAAAAGAACAGCCTGCAGGCACAGATAAGGAACATGCACAAGGGGACTTGCCTAAGACATGGCTACAGCACACCAGATAAGAAAAGCTACACAGGTGACTTGCCCAGACATGCCCACAATGGAAAATTCTGTCCCCTGACACATGCACAGTAAGGGGGAACAAAGCAATTAGGTAGTGAACTCAAGATAAGAGCCCGCATGTGCACTAGAAAGATGGGGTGGCGCCACCAGAAATTCATGCCTTATGCAAATGAGATACCAAGACCTCATCTGTTTCTTATAAAAGCCTTTGCATTCAACTGTAAAAACAGCAACCCTCTTCTGGGTCCCCTCTCCGTAGTGGAGAGCTTTCATCTTTGGCTTATTAAACTTTCACTCCAACCTCACCCTTTGTGTCTGCACTCCTTAACTTTCTTGGTCATGAGACAAAGAACTCCAGGTACTACCTCAGGCAAAGAGAAACTTCTATGTTGTGGTGCATTGGCAAAACTATGACAGAGGCAGCTTGGATTCATCTCTATTATTTAAATCTGCCAAGGTTGTGAAACTGAGAGATAGTCACAGGAACAGTTCCAGGAAAAGAAAACTGGATCCAAAGGGAAAGAGACATTTTTCTCACAGTCAGCACAGGCAGTAAAGTGAACTGGGTCAGCTGATTGGATTGTCAGGTAGAAACCATATTGATTTCCTGATTTGGAGGTTATGTGGTGGTTACCTGGGAGAGTGTCCCTGCTTTGAGTAAAATACAGTAGAGTATTTTGTGTGAAGTTGCAAATCTGGTACTGGAGTGACCACTGGGGAATCTGAGAGAAAGGATAAAAGGTATTTTGTACTGCCATTGCATGTTTCCTATAAGTATGAATTTACTGGAAAGTAAATTACTTTATAAAACAACCATATCAATACCATACCAGGAAAGTAGAGATGACATCAAACTTCATTATAGAGGCTCCATTTCAGCCAAAGCTGTGAAACCAATAATTCTCAAAAGAGTGTGAATTTCATTAGTGGCCACTGTGTGGACATGATTCCATCAGTAGTAGGGGCCACTGAGTGGATACTAACTACTAGAGGCCATTGTGTGAATATATATTGTAGCCACTATGTCTTGGATGTTGAGAATGATCTCAGGGTGCAATGGCAACAGTGGGATTTTGGGGTTATATTTTTCTACATGAACCCTTCCTGTGCAGAATCCTCTGAATCAGAATCTCCGCTACACTCCGAGTTGTGGACAGAAGCTTTTAATTCACCACTGAACAGTATCAAGTTTAGATCTCCATCCTGGAGCCTTGAGGAAAATGAAGTTCTTGTCTCCCTGCTCCCACCATCTGAGGGGAGATGGTCAGAAGAGGCGGGTTCACATGCCATCTGGTGGCTGTCAGGACTCAGCACAGGACGCTCTTGCTCACAGTTTATCGGTGGACGTGTGCCCCCTCTTGGCTCTCTTGAAAAATCAATACAATTCAGCATTCATTTACTCAGTGCGATTATTTTGGAAATTCACTATCCCGTGTATTTTTCAAAAATAGTGATGGAACAATTATTTAGAAACCATATGGAATGAAAATAATGTACATGCAAACTAAAATTATGCAAAAATTCACTCACAATCATCCATAGGCTGAAATTTGAAATGCAAAACTATAAACATTCTAGAAGAAAGCCTGTGCAACCTTGGATTTGGTGCTGAGGTTTAACACATAATACCAAAAGCCACATCACAAAAGAAAAAATACTGATAACACAGACTTTATAAAACTAAATTTTCAACTCTGAGAAAGAGCCTATTCAGAGAACAAAGACAAGACACAGACTGGGAGAAAGTATTTACAAAATACATATCTGGTAAAAACAATTGTATTAAAAATATAAAAAGATGTTGGGTGGGGTGGCTCATGCCTGCAATCCCAGTTACTTGGGAGGCTGAGGCAAGAGGATGGCTTGAAGCTAGTAGTTTGAGACCAGTCCGAGCAATATAACAAGACACTGTCTCTAAAAATAATGATAACACAAAAAGAACTCTTAAAAAGAAGCAATAAGATAACTAAAAACCCAATTAAAATGAGTAAATAGCTAAATGGACACCTGACCAAATAAAATATAAAGATAGCAAATAATCATACAAAAGGGTGCTCAACATATCATTAGGAAATTGTAAATTAAAACAACAATGAGATAGCTGCACACCCTTTAGAACTGCTGAACTCTAAAAGAGCCCTGATAAACCACTTGCTGGAGGCTGAAGAACAATAGGAGCTGTCATTCATTGGCTGGTAGAACGCATAATGGTACAGTCACTTCAGAAGACACTTTCGCGTTTTTTTTTCCAAAGCTGAACAACTCTCACCTTATAATCTGACAATTGCACTCCTAAATTGCCTGTATTTAGACAACTGCTTTGAAAAGTTATGTTCAAACATATACCAGCATGTAATTATGTACAGCAGTTCTATTCATAATGGTCAAAATGTAATCAGAATTTCCTTCAATAGCTGAATGCATGATCAAATTGGGGTGCATCTATGCAATGGAGTACCATTCATAAATAGAAAGGAATAAACTATCTACGCATGCGAAGACATGGGTAAATCTTGCATGTATACTGCTAAGTGAAGGAAGCCAGTCTGAAGAGGCTACCCACCATTTCACCCCATTTTATATCATATTTTGGGAAAGGCAAAATTACAGAGATAAACGAATCAGTGGTTACATAGGGTGGGTATTTGAAGGTACTTCAATGGTGGATACCTGACACTATGCATTTTATAAAACTGATATAGTTTTACAGCCCAAAGAATAAATCACAAGCTATACAAATTAAATCAAACATTTAGGGTGCAGTAGTATCCAAGGATAAAATATAGAATGGGATCAGGAATCTAACTGTATTACAAATTTATGGAAAAACTCACTGCAGGTGATGGGCAGAAAGTGCTAACCTAAGTCACTTTGGAAATGAGTAGAATCTATAGTCTAAAAGCAGAATATACTGAATATAAATAGTGGTCTCTATTTTATAAAGTTCTCTCCCCCAGGGGTAATAGTCAATTTTGAAACCAGTATATCTGTAAAAAGAAAAAAAAACCTGTTTTTCATCTATACTCTCAATACTTCACTTCTGACACCAAATATATGAGGGATTTTCCCATATCAACCAATTCTCCAACTTTCTGGACACCAGCTGGGTGTTATATAGTTCAATTATGACATGAACTAACTGGAGTTATTACATACCTAATAGTTTAAGGGCTCAGTAACACCAGACTGCCCCCCCCACTTCAGATGCCAATCACAACTAGTAAATCCCCAGTTTACTCATACTTCTGTATGACTTAGCTGCAAATTGAACAGTCCCACACCTCCTCCTCAGGATTGATAATTTGCTATGATGGCTCATAGAACTCAGGGAAACATTTACTTATGTTTACTGGTTAATATGATCTCAATGTTGGTGTCCCCCCAAAATTCATATGTTGAAACCTAACCTCCAAGAGGATGGTTTAAACAGGTAATTCATTGTCAAGTGTTGTGGGAAGTCAGAGACCCCAAACAGAGGGACTGGCTGGAGCTGTGGCAGAGGAACATAAATTGTGAAGATTTCATGGACATTTATCAGTTCCCAAATAATGCTTTTATAATTTCTTATGCCTGTCTTTACTTTAATCTCTTAATCCTGTTATCTTCATAAGCTGAGGATGTATGTCACCTCAGGACCACTGTGATAATTGTGTTGACTGTATAAATTGATTGTAAAACATGTGTGTTTTAATGATATGAAATCAGTGCACCTTGAAAAAGAACAGAATAACAGCGATTTTTAGGGAACAAGGGAAGACAACCATAAGGTCTGACTGCCTGCAGGGTCAGGCAAAAAGAGCCATATTTTTCTTCTTGCAGAGAGCCTATAAATGGACGCGTCAAGTAGGAGAGATACCACTAAATTCTTTTCCTAGCAAGGAATATTAATATCAATACCCTGGGAAAGGAATGCATTCCTGGGGGGAGGTCTATAAATGGCCGCTCTGGGAATGTATGTCTTATGCAGTTGAGATAAGGACTGAGATACACCCTGGTTTCCTGCAGTACCCTCAGGCTTACTAGGGTGGGGAGAAACTTCACCCTGGTAAATTTGTGGTCAGACCGGTTCTCTGCTCTTGAACCCTGTTTTCTGTTATTTAAGATGTTTATCAAGACAATATGTGCACTGCTGAACATAGACCCTTATTAGTAGTTCTGCTTTTGCCCTTTGTCCTGTTCCCTCAGAAGCATGTGATCTTTGTTAGACCCTTACTAGCAGCACTGCTTTTTGCCTTTTGAAGCATGTGATCTTTGTACCTACTCCCTGTTCTTACACTCCCTCCCTTTCTGAAACCCTTAATAAAAACTTGCTGGTCTGAGACTTAGGTGGACATCATGGTCCTACTGATATGTGATGTCACCCCCGGCAGCCCAGCTGTAAAATTCCTCTCTTTGTACTGTCTGTCTTTATTTCTCAGCCGGCCGACACTTATGAAAGACAGAAAGAACCTACACTGAAATACTGGGGACAGATTTCCCCAATAATCAAGGCTCTGCCCTCATGAATGGCACAAGTGCCCTTATAAAAGAGTCTGTAGGGAGCCTGTTTCTCTATTCTGCCATGTGAGGACATGGCTAGAAGGTACTATCTCTGAGAGACGAGCCCTCACCAGACATGGAATCTTCCAGTGCCTTGATCTTGGACTTTCCAGGCTCCAGAATTATATGCAACAAATTTATGTTGTTTAAAAGTTACCCAGTCTATGGTATTTTTTTATAGCAACCTGAAAGGACTAAGACCCCAGTTCATTATAAAGGACATGGTAAAGAAAACACATGAACAGCCAGATAAGGGGGTACACAAAGCAAAGTTTGGAAGTGCGGAAGCTCTGTCCTCATGGAGTTGGGGTTTGCCATGCTCCCTGCACATGGATGTATTTAACAATTTAGAAACTCTTTAAACCCTATCTTTTAGGATTTTTTAAGAGACAAAGTCTCGCTCTATCCCAAGCCTGGAGTGCAGGGGTACAATTATAGCTTACTGCAACCTTGAACTCCCGCCCTCAAGCAATCCTTCTGCCTTAGTTTCCCAAGTAGCTAGGACTACGTGCACACACTACCACACCCAACTCTCTTATTTTCTGTAGAGATGGAGTCTCACTGTGTTGCCTAGGCAGGCCTCAAATTCCTGGCCTGAAGTGATCCTCCCACCTCTTTCAGGGATTTTTATGGAGGCTTTATCACATAGGCATGATTGATTATTAACTCAATCTCCAGCCCCCTTTCCCCTCAGAGGATAGGATATGAAGCTGAAAGTTACAAGCTTCTAATCATGGCTTGGTATTTCTGGTGACCACGCCCCATCCTGAAGCCATCCAGGAGCAGAGCAAAAGACATTCCTATTACCTGAGAGATTTTTAAGGCATTTGGAAACTCTGTGTCAGAAACCAGGGTCAAAGACCAAATATGAGAACAAAAAATGCTCCTAGCACCCCTATCACTCAAGAAATTGTAAGGGTTTTGGGAGCTCTGTACCAGGAAATAGAGACAGAGACCAAACATATATTTATTATTAAATCACAACTTATAATTTGAATCAACAACAATAAATTCGGTGTTTATACTGGAACAAGGGATTAAATAAATGGCAGATGGTAGAAGCTAATTCCTTGCTGTCAGAGTGAGAATTTACAGACAAGAAAGGCAGGGGAGGCTAGAATAATTCTTGTGATAATGGATCAGAGTCCATTGATTGGAGATATCAGTATAAACTCACATGTAGCTTAATATATACACAGATGGATCCACATAGAAATCTTTATAATTAGGCATGTATATGTAGGTTAGAACACACACATATATATTTCCTTGCATTGTCAGCTGTGAGGGACAAGATGCAATGAGCATATTTAGCTGCCAGATATAAGTTTTTAAAACCATTCTCTAATAAGGGAAATCAGTGCTCTTGGAAGAAATAGCTAAACTAGGGCTGAGACAGTAAATATATGAGCCAGGATACTCTTGAAGTGTCAGAAAGAAATTGTTAAAACAAAACAAAACAAAACATGCAGTTATGTCAAAGGAAAACAGGAGCCAATAGAAAGATCTCCCAATGGCCACAGGTAGGAAATCAAAGCAACAAAATACTGTACAATTGGATAATAACCAAAAGATTGAAGTAACTGTCTGGTTGTCCATACTGGTCTAAATAAATGATTAAATAAATATGCAAATTGGCCAAATAGAAATATCTTATACAGAAGAATTCCAAATACCTAATGTAGATACTCAGCCATCAAGGAAGTAGAGCTAACTCCCTACTCCTTAAGTGTGGGCTCTGCATGCTTATTTCCTCCAAAAGAATACATACAGTATGGACATGGGGAAAAAGTAACTTCACAGTGAGAAACCTAAAAACACTACCTCAGCCAGGTGATCAAAATTAACATTAATGGTGATAATGCATCTTGAGAGCATGAAGAGACTAGAATAGCACTACACATCTGATCTGCTTCCCCCAAACCCGTAACCCCAGTATAATTATGAGAAAAATACCAAGTAAACCACAATGAGATATTTTCTACACAATACCTGACCAGTCTTTCTTACACTGTCAAGGCTATCAGAAGGAAAGTCTGAGAAACAATCATAGGCAAGAAGAGCCTGACATGACAACTAAATGTCCTGTAGGATCTGAGATGGGATCCCAGAATAGAAAAAGATAGAACTGAGGGAAACCAAATAAAACGTGGGCTTATTTAGTAATAACATATTAATATCTGGTCATTAATGGTAACAAATGATGTAAGATGTTAAGAAGACATCTGATACATACTAATATGTTAATAAGAGGGAAAACTAGGTTGCAGCTACAGGGGAAATCTGCATTCTTCTTTCTAATTTCTGTGTGAATCTAAAACTAATTTAAAATAATAACTTTATTCAAAACGTAATTTTTTTCAAACATCTGCTTATTTATTTGTACTAATAATTAAGACTATACTTTCAGGGATTATTTCTATAGTTTGTTAATTATTTGTACTAATAGTAGTAATTGACACTAACTAGTCCTACATTTAAAAAATAAGAACATTCATGATGCTGTGAAGTATATAATGCAGACTAATAAATAATTCCAAATAAGTGCCTCTTTTGCATGTTTTATGTTAAAATAACATACTCGTGTAAACTTATTAATCATATTTTTTACTTGTGGTGTGGTTCTGTCCTGGGTTCACTCTCTAGAAATCTGGTCACCTTAGACCAGGGAAAAAATCACATTTTAGAGACTATTTCAATTCATTGCTGAACATTTTCAAAAGTACAACTTTAAAAAATAAAAAAGGGCCAGGCACGGTGGCTCACACCTGTAATCCCAGCACTTTGGGATGCCAAGGCAGGTGGATCACGAGGTCAGGAGTTTGAGACCAGCCTGGCCAACATGGTGAAACCTGGTCTCTACTAAAAATACAAAAATTAGCTGGGTGTGGTGGCAGGCACCTGTAATCCCAGTTACTCAGGAGGCTGAGGCAGAATTGCTTGAACCCAAGAGGCGGAGGTTGCAGTCAGCCGAGATCGCGCCACTGCACTCGAGCCTGGGTGACAGAGCAAGACTCCATCTCAGAAAAAAAAAAAAGGTCCAAATGACAAATTGATTTATTGTGACTGGATCACTTATTGTAATGAATCTTTGTCTTTGTTTCCAAGCATTCCTTTTAACAGTAATACAACAGAAACAAATATTTGTCACTGCAAAAAATATTCAGAGAAAGGAAGAATATGAACAGATTTTGTGACCACGATCATTCGGTGTCTCCTTGTGATGCTTTCTAAAACAGAAGAGTTTAAAGGGATATTCAAAGTCAATTTTAGAGAAATTGATGAAATTAGATAAACAAAAGTGGCAGGACATTCTATGAGTGATTTTAGATATTGCTATGTCTTGAGGAAAAATGTAATATACCTTTTAGAGGATCACAAAGGATTATTGGAAGCCCAGACTCTGGAATGTTTCCAAATTCAGTTGAAATTATGTCAATATAGGTAATAATGAAGGTAATGATAAAATGGGATCTGTGCCTTATTTGTGTAATAAAATCCACAGAGTATTTAATGCTCCTAGGAAAACATGTTAGACTTGAAATACAGTTAATAATATCAAAAGCAAAATACACTTCTGTAAACCAAAAATAAAATTCTAAGGCTCCCAACCTTCTAAATGGACTTCCTCCTCAGCCAAGGCTCTCTAAAATTTAATCTGAGAGACTGTTTCAGGCCAAGACGGGAAGTGAGGGTCAGACATGCCTCATTATACCTCTTTGGAATTAACATCAACACAGACTTTAAGTATGATAAGAAACATTTTAAAACGTATTCTCTGTGAAGCCTACTGCCTGAAGACTTCCTCTGCAAATAAGAACTTGGGTCTCTAAAATCCTTTATCTTAACCCAGACATTCCTTTCTATTGATCCCAGGTCTCTAGATAAATTCAACCAATGGTCAACCAGAAAAATTTTAAATCTACCTGTAAGCTGGAAGCCCCCCATTTCGAGTTGTCCCAGCTTTATAGATCAAGCCAATGTATTTCTTAAATGTATGTGATTGAAGTGCCATGTCTCCCTAAAATGTATAATAACAAGGCGTACCCTGACCACCTTGGTACATGTTCTCAGGACCTCCTAAGGGCTGTGTCCTAACCATAGTCACTCATATTTGGCTCAGAATAAATCTCTTCAAATGTTTTACAGAGTTTGACTGTTTTCATTGACACTTCCTTACATTTGATTGTACAACAGAAGTAGCTCATCAGGAACAAATGTACCATATTGAAGTATGTTCATATTGTTGACCTAAAGGAAGAAGCTGAGGCACAAAATAGAATTTTACAGTTTACTTGAGCTAAGATGAGGACAGCTGCCCAGAAGACTCAGACCTAAATATCTGTAGATATGAGCTCCATTCAACTTCTGTTACAAGCAGGTTTTTTAATTTGGCAGCCAGCACCAGGGCACCAGGGAGAGAGAATCTCCTGATGATCCACAGCTGTTAACATTGAAGTGTTAATTGAATGCAAATGACAGGGAGAAGAAACTTCCTGGGCATGTGCTTAAGAGACAAAATGGTGAAGTATGACCTTCTGGGGACACTCCACCAGAAAAGAGAGGAAAGCCTCAGATGGGCACGCGTACAAGCTTCCTAAAAAGACGGCAAGTGCTCAGTTCCCAAGGGTAAGGAGGGCACTGTGCATGCGGGCAGCCCACCCTAAGGGAAAAATCATGGGAAAGAGGTGAGCCTATAAAGTCCTAGGATCAAAGTTAAATGCTGTCTTTGACCTTCAGATGCCTACTTGGGTCTCTTTCAAAGCGAATTTTCCTTCCTTTCCTGTTCTATAAGCCTTTTTAAAATAAACTTACACTCTTCTTCTAAAACTCGCCTTGGTCTCTTCTTCCACTTTATGTCCCTCAGTCGAATTCTTTCTCCTAAGGAGGCAAGAACTGAAGTTGCTGCAGACACATATGGATTCACTGTTAGTAACTCAGGGTAACTTGGATACCTGCCACTGGTAACAATAATGGAATAAAGTTTTCTTGACTTTACTGAAACGATGTGTTGATGAGAGGAGGTGCCAGCTGGGCTTCCTGGGTCTAGCAGGGGCTCAGAAAGCTATGAAACTCATTTTCTGCAACAGGACTTACTTTGGTCCTGGATGAATAATATTGAAGATATATGCTTAAAATATTCCTAACATCAGAATTTGTGCATGTGTTTTCTTCCCCAAGAAAGCTATAAACAGCGAAACTTTTGCTGTAAGCTTCCCTGTGTCCTCGCTCCCTCTCTCCCTTCCCCCTCCCCTGAAACTGAAAGGAATGTTAAAAGCCCGTTTTTCTGTGACCAGCAAACCTTATCTATGCTCCCAATTCCGATTCCTTGTAAACACAGTTTGTAAAATCCTGTGAGATCCTGTCTCCTTTGCCATGCCGCTGCAAGGTCATAAAGTAGATAACCTTAAGTTACAATTCCGGTTTCCTCAGATCTGATACATGTTAATTGTCTTTGTTTCTCGCTCTGGTAACATCTTCCCGCCGCACGTATTTCCCGCCTTAAAGGGTTTAAAGGGGTGATCAAAAAATCTAACACTGGCTACCGGCCCAGGACCCTTCACGCTGTGGAAGCTTTGTACTGCCACTCTGCTCAATAAAGCCTACAGCTTTTTTCTCTCAGTCTGATCCGTGTCTCTCTCTCACCGCGGCTGCCGCCACATCAATTCTTTGGTGTGGCTAAGGCAAGAACCTTTGGCGTTACATTGAGACCAGAAACCCAAAATGATGGTGACTGAGAGTACTACTAATGCCCTATGTTTTGGTCACCTAGGTGAGAACCTGACCAAAAGGGGAGAGTTATTAACTGGGCTCCTGCACTAGGCCACAACAGACCAGGCC
Organism: Homo sapiens; assembly: GCF_000001405.40. NCBI lineage: Eukaryota > Metazoa > Chordata > Mammalia > Primates > Hominidae > Homo > Homo sapiens. Next base: position 57,144,518 of record NC_000024.10, on the reverse strand, counting down.
AAACCAGGATGGAATAACTGACGCCAAATGCCACACAACCAAACTGAAGTGTTAAGGAAGCAGATAAATCCCAAAACAGACCAGTGTTTCCTGAAAAAGAAAGGATTCCCGTCTACCTGAGTCAGCATAAGGAAATCCCCTCTGCTTTAACCCTTACCCAAAAAGGGACCTGATATTAACTGAACCCAAAATATCTGAGACAGGTCTCAGTGAATTTAGAAAGTTTATTTTGTCAAGATTAAGGACACACCCGTGACACAGCCTCAGGGGGTCCCGATGACATTTACCCAAGTTGGTAAGGGTACAGCTTGCTTTATACATTTTAGGGAGACATAATACATCAATCAACACATGTAAGATTTACACTGGTTTGATCTGGAAAGGTGGAACAACTCGGGGTGGGGGCTTCCAGGTCATAGATAGATTTAAAAATTTTCTGATTGGGAATTAGTTGAAAGAGTTATTATCAGTAGAAAGGAATGTCTGGGTGGATAAGGGGTTATGGAGACCTAGGTTTTATTATGCAGATGAAGCCTCCAAGTAGCAGGCTTCAGAGAAAAAAAGATTATAAACGTTTCTTATCAGACCTAAGGTCTGTGTTGATGTTAATGCTGGAGGGGTGTAATGAGGCATGTCCAACCCCCTCTTCCACAATGGTCTGAACTAGATTTTCAGGTTAACTCTGCAATCCCCTTGGCTGAGAGGAGTCCATTCAGGTGGTTGGGGGCCTTAGAATCTTATTTTTGGTTTACATAACCAATCAGCTGTTATTTTCCATTGTTCTGTTTCCTTGTTTCCATCTTACAAAACTCACTGTTCTGCTATTGCCCAGTGGGAACTGAGACCAAATAAGAACTTCTGAATTCCATACTGAGACCAAATAAGCCCATTTATAATGATGACAGAGAGTGGAGTCATGGTGACAATGCCCAAAAGTTTTGGTCAATTTCTCAAAATTAAAAGGCTGACCAAAAGGAGGGAGTTGTTAAACTAAATTTGGGCTTTAGAAGCCTCCCAACGAGTCCTTGTAAAGAACTACAACCTAAGTTAGTATATAAACAAACTGAAAATCTGACTTAGAAATCTGTCTTTATAACAAATAGCTGAGGCTAAACCAATCACAGCTGCCAAGTGTCAGCCAATGGCAGGCGGCCAACTGTTCAAACTAGGTTCCATAAAGGCAAATCCAGGCTGTAACCAATGGAGCTGTCTCTGTATTTCACTTGTTTTCTGTATGTCACTTTCTTTTCTGTGGTTATAAACATAACCTGCAGATGTCATGTGGCAGAGCATTCTGGACCATTTTTGGTCCGGACTGCTGCCTGATTCTAGAATCTCAAACAAAAGCCAATTAAGATCTGCAAACCTAGATGTGCTGTAATTTTGTCTTTTAACAGTTGGGTCCTGAAAATGATGGCCTATTAAGCTGAAGTTAATTAAAAATCACTTAAGGTCATCATTGGTGTCACGCGCGTCAGCGTGAAGAGACCACCAAACAGGCTTTGTGTGAGCACCAAGGCTGTTTATTTCACCTGGGTGCAGGTGGGCTGAGTCCGAAAAGAGAGTCCAGCTACAGCCTTGCAGAGAGCCAGCACCCATGCCGGCACCCTGAGCTGCCTGCTGTGCAGTGGCCAGACCCTACAATCGCTCAGACACCCCTCACCACTCCACGCCTGACTCGCCCTTGGCAGGCATGGGCTCCAGGCCAGTAGCATGAGCTGAGTGCAGCCTACCAGGCCAAGTGGGTAGAACGAGTCCAGCGGGCCAGGGTAAAACTGCAGCAAAGGCTCCACTAGCCACAAAGGTTTCCGGCCAGAAAAGTAACACCCCAAGGATCCCTAACAACATGAGGAAAGTAAAACATATGGCAGCGTTCCCTCCTCTGCACTCAGGGCATGGACAGGAACCTTATTCCTCACCTTCAGGTGTCCTGAAGCCAGGGTGCTTCCCCAGGTCCCTCCTGAGCAGAAGGAGGCTTGGGTCCTCCCTGGGCACGACCCCCAGGTGTTCCTTAGCCACAGAGGGTCTCCCAGGTGGGTCCTGAGGAGAAGGAGATTTGGGTCCTCCCTGGGCATGGCCCCCAGCTGTCCTGTAGCCACAGCAGCACCTCCTGGGTGAAACCTGAGAACAAAGCTTGGTCCTCACTGTGGAGGTGCCGGATGTCTACGCAGAGAACATGGGGGCCTCATGAGGGTCCAAAAAGGTGGGTTTGCATGCCCCTACAGGCCGTTGGGGGCAGTACAGGATGCTCAGGCGCTCACGATTTAGTGGTGCCCATAGGCTGCGGTCTGCGGTCCCCGTGAATCTCTGAAAATCCATTGTTCTGATAATTCCATGCCATGATTTTGGAAATTAAAACTGAAAGAGAGCCTACCATCCCTTGCCTTGACCAAAATGGATAGAGATAAAAAGCAAAGTAGATGGTCAACGGACAAAAGTCAATTGATGTCCTACGTATCAGCAATTATGTATGGATAAAACTGGAATTTGAAAGCTGGAATACAGTATTTAAAAAAATCAATATCATTTACAACAGCAGGCCTCAAAATTAAAGTTCTTAAGTATAAATTTTTTAAAAAGGTACACATATGCATTCATAAAAACTAGAAACACAGTTAAAAGAAACAAAACGTAAATAAATGCAGAGATATTCCTTATTCACCATTGGTAGACTAGACATAGTTAAGATAAAAATTCCTTCAAAGTTGATCTATATATTCAGTGCAATCTCAATTAAATTCCCAGCAAACTGTTTCTAAACCTATAATAGACAACACTGAATAAACACAAACTTAAGAAACTCACACATCTGTACCCTAACACTTATTATAAAGCTAAACTAATGAGGAAAATGTGATAACGACCCTGACCCCAACACTGATCCAAAACCTAACCCTAACCCCTAAACTTAACCCTATGCTGACACTGACCCTGATCCAACCCTGACCCTGACCCCAACCCCTACCCAACCCAGATCCAGACACCAACCCCAACCCATATTTATAACCCAGACCCTGACCCTGACCCAATCTCTGACCCCTAACTTTGATCCTGACCTTTAACCTGACCTAGACTTCTGACTCTAACCCTAACTCAATTTTCCCCAGTTCAACTTGAGTGCCTAAATCTGAAACCATAATCAAAACTCAATATTATCCCAAAGTGAAACTCAACATCAATTTCACCCTAACCCTAGTGGTAACACCCACCGTAAGTCCTAAACCAGAATTGAGCCTGTATCCTGAAATTGTAACTGAACCCAGGTTCAGCTGCTTGCTACTTGAAAGACAAAACTCAAGAGACAGGAGGTGAGAGGAAAAGCAGGTTTATTAAGAAAGCCAGCAAACCTAGAAAATGACATGCTAGCATCCTAAAGTATCATCTTAAGTCACTATAAATTTTAGGTTCTTTTAATGTTAAAGGCAAGAGGTAGAGGAAGGAGTTGGGATCTAGAAGTGACCAACAACTTCAGACATCTGGGCGCCAGTGAGGGCCCGAGGAGGTTGGGAAATTCTTTGTCCTTGGTCAGGTCACAATGCTCCTATAAGTCTTTTAACAAAACACAGTTAGTTGTTTACATGCTTTTTTCTTTAATCTCAGAGTTAGTTTTAAAAGCTACGTGATTGCTGTTTTTCCATATTATCTCAGTGCTCTAAAATTATCCTAGCCTATGTGCAGGAATGGGTAAATGTCCCTTAAACAAAAATAGAATTAGTTATGTTAGTTTTTTTGCTGTTTCACTGTTACAAAACCATCCCCACACTTGAACCCAAATCCAGAAATCTTGACACTTAATCCAAATGTAAACTAGGATCCAACTGAAACCTATTAACCCTATCCTGAGCCTAAGCCCAAGTCCCAACCACAATCCTAAACTCTTTATGTGACCTGTTTGTCAATCATAACCGTGACCTCAATACAAAACCACAAATCCTATCCACATCTGAACCCTAGTCCTAAACACTAAACCCTAACCCAAATTGAGGCCAAAGTCCTATACCCTAAAATCCAGCCCAAGTCAAGAGTCTAATCCCAAACCCCAACCAGATTCCAATCAGACACTGACATCAAACCTGATCCCATCCATAACATCAATACCAACCTGAAGTTGAACCAGAAGGTGAACTATGAACATGAACCAAAACCCTAATTCAACCCCCTAAACTCTAAAGTCAAGCTTCATTCAGAGCCTATGCACAGGCCAGGACATCATAAACTGCAATCCAAATCTGAATCAAACCCCAACTCCAATTCCAACCCTAACCCTTACCATAAACCTCGATCCCAAACTTGAACCCAAATCCAAACTCTGAATTCCAAACAGATCATGACCTGAACCCTGACCCCTACACCAATCCAAAATCCTTAACCAGAATTGAACACAAACTCAAACTTTAAACCGAATGTAACCTGACCCAAAACCTAAACTCTAAACCCAAGCTGAAACCTGAAGCCAAACATTGAAGCTGAATAAAACCTTAGTCCAAACTTCTAAACTTTAAAACCAAGCTTAAATCAGGAGCCCAACCCAGGCATAAACCTGAACCATACCAAGCCCCAAAGTCAAAGCCAAACCCAAACCTAACTCCAATTACAACCATTACTGTACCTCTAATTTTAACCATAAACACTAATCCCAAACTCTAACCCAAACCTAAACCCTTAACCATGAAACTGACATCTGGGCCTGCGGTTCTGCCCTCTGGGGGCATGGCTCATTCTTTTGTTCCCAGCTGCACCCACTGCTCCTCCATCTAAGGATGAGACTGCTCACCCTGGGCCTGAAGCTCAGGCCTCTGCCTATGCTCATGTGGCTCAGCCTTTTGTTTCCACAGCTTCACCATTTGGGGCCAGGCTGTTTCCTCTAACTCCAGGGCGATGCCACCCTTTAAGCTCAGGACCCCGCCCCCTGCACTCTGGGGTCTGCTCTCCTCTGGGTTAAATCTGCCTTCTACCATTGTGATCTTGGCTCTGGTCTTTGAAACACAACACTAAAACTGAACCAGCACACGAACCCCCCTATACATTGAAACTGAGCACAAGTGAGAGTCCAAGTTCAAGCCCAACCACAAACCCCAATCAAACCCAAAGCTGAACCCCACCAAAATCCCAGAACACTATACTTACATGTGGGCAAACCAGAACATGTACTTGAACCCCTAAACCCTAAAACTTAGCCCTAGAACCCCAATTCTAACATTGACCTGACAAACAAGCCAAACCCCAAGCCCATCCTAATACTAACCCTAATACTAAATCCCAACTAAAAGCCAAACACTGAACACAAGTCAGAACCTGAACCTGAACATTTGAACCTGAACCTAAAACCAAGCCCAAGTCAGAGCCCAAGCCTAAACAAGACAGAACACCAGTCCATATCAAGGCCAATGCTGTTCCCAACTTTGACTCCATGCCACCCTAATCCAACTGTAATCAGGCCCCTTGAGATTTCAGCATCCCAGCATTTTAGTGACTGAAATAATGAAAATTCTGATCAGACCACTGCTTAAACATGTTAACTACTCATTTTTGGCCCATTATTCCTTGTTTCCACAATATAATTATAAACTACTGACATATTCTTTCTTTGTCAAGCAGGAGGAGATAACTTCAGGGCCACGAAAAAAAAAAAATGGCAAAAGGAATGAATGTTTTGAAGGACATTGGGACCAGGTTTTGATGCCCAGAAGTCTGGTTGTTCCAGGTGTTATCTGAGATTGAAGAAACACAGACGTTGCCCTTCAGTTCTCTGAAATACTCCCTTATTCCCTAGCTGCATAAAAACTCCTTGCTGCATCTTTTTGTTAAGGCAGATTTGACAGATCTTGCTCTCCCGCCTTCTTGCTTTGGCAAAATCTAATAAACCTTTCTCTATCTCTAAGAACTGGTGTCTCGGTGTTTGGCTTCAGCTGTGCATTGGGTACACGAGTTTGAATCTGGGGTTCCACGACCCAATCGCAATAATCCAAAGCAGCCCCAACTCAATCCTAGCCCAAGTTCTAGTCAAAACCAGCACCCCAACCCTACCCTAACCCTAACCCAACCCCAAGCCAAGCCCTAGCTTCAGCCCTGGTACAAACCTGAGCATGAACCTAGACACTACACCAAAAGCAACTCTGACCACAACACCAACCCTAAACTTTAAAATCGTACTTGACTACTACTCAGACCTCACATCTAAACCCTAAAGACAAATCCAAAGGAGAACACAAACATGAACCCTAAACTGTAAAGCCAACTCAAACCCAAAGGTGAACTCTCAACCAGAATATGAACCTGAACTTCAACCCTAAAATTAACCTTAACCCTAAGACATGAACCAGGACCCAAACTGTAAACATGAACAAGAACTCATACCCTTAAATGCCCAAACCAAGCCTGAATCAGAGCTTGATCTGAATCCTGATCAATACTCCTGATGAAATTCCAACCCCGAACTTTGACCTCAACCCCAACCCTAATCCAAACATAATCAGAAACAAAAAACTCTAGTCACAACCTGAACCCTATCCCCAATTCAGGCTAAGCCTTAGCCCCAGTACATTCAAAGAACAGGCCAAGTCCAAGTGCCAGCTCCAGCCCATGCCAAGCCCCAGCCTGAGAACTGAGTCCAAGCTGAGTCCAAACCCTTACCCCAACCCCCAAATCGACCCTGACTTGAACTCTGTCCCCAACCGTTCCTAACCCCAACCACATACCCAACCCTAAATTCTTAAAACCAAAAACTCCAACCTCAACCTCCAATCTAAACCCATATACACAAACCTGAACTAGAACCTAACTCAAATTTCTAAAGCCTGAACCCAAGCTGGAATCCCTAAACCCCAAAACAAAGCCAAGTCAGGACTCAAGCCTGAGCACCATAAAAAACCCAATTCAAATCCTGCCCCCAACCCCAAACCCAACCCTGACATCCCACACCCACACTTGACATCAATCCCAGTCCCAGCACCAGTGAGAGCTTGAGCTGTCAAGCTAGAAATAGAGCCTGAGCTTGAGCCAAAGCCAAATCCCAAAACCCATTTTGAACCAAACACCAACCTGAATCCCAACCACAATGCTGACTTCAACCCAGAACCAAACCTGGGTTCCAAACCCTGTCCCCAACCACAACTACACCAAACTAAAGCCCTAAACCTGAAATATAACCTAAATCCAAACTCTGAAATTAAAGCATAATTTACTCAAACTCTAAACATTAAAGCCTGACTCAAACCTAAAGGCAAAACCTGAACCCCAATCAAAATCCTAATCCAAAGCCCTTAGCCATAATATTGAAATGGAGTCAAAGCCCAAGTCTGGGCATGAATGTGAACCGCAATCCAAACTCTGAATGTGAACCTAAAATTTAACTCCGAAATCCTGAACTAGAACCTAACTGGAACCTAACTACACCCCAGCCCAAGCCTGAATCCTAAAACCAAACCCAAACCTAAACCCTATGCCTGAGCTACACCTTGACCTCAACCTAGCCCCCAAAAGAAGGCCTAAGCATGAACCCAAACTCAAATTGATACTCTAACCCTAAACTCAAACTCCAAACATGACTAGAACACTGCACCTGACCACTAACCTGAATTCAAAACCCAAACTCTAAAACCAAGTCTGAGGCAAGGCCCAGGCTGAGGGATCATATCCTGACTTAATTCCAAACCCTGACCTGATCCTTTACCCAAATCCTGATCCCAACACTAACCTCAACTTCAACCTTTTCATGGTCCCAAACTCAAACCCAGCCTCAACACTGGCCCAAACCCCGTCCCCATCCATGGCACCAACTCCAGTGTGAGCAGAGCACTAGTTCAAACCTGAGCCCAAAACTCTAACCTGAACCACATTCCAAAACCAACCACAACCATAAATTAGAGCCAACATTGTCCTCAGCCCAGACCCCTAAATCCAAACTTGAACTCAAGTCAACCCCTGCATCCAAACAAGACCACACCCAAACCCGGACCTCTATTCCAATCATATACCTAATACCTGACCCATGCCCTGAGTTTGACCTGGAGCCAAATAGCAACTCTAACCTGAATTCGTACCCAAGCCTAAATCCCTGAACATAAAACCATTGCCAGAGTCTGAGCCCAAGCCCACGCCCAAACCATAAATCCAATCTAAACCTAAACTCAAAACACGACTTAAACCGTGAACTCAACCCTAACACTAACTGTAATCTTAAACCAAATTCCAATCAAATTTGCTCTTAAATTCTGACATTGAATGAGAGTGATACCTCAGGCTTAAAACTTAAAACTAAACCTGAGTGAGAGCTCAAGCCCAAATGTGAATCACTCCAGCACCGACTCCAAACCTAAATCATAATCCTGAACCCAAACCCCAAATTGTAAATCTGAATCCAGACCTGAACCTTGAACCCAAACTACTAAACTCCAAACCCAAGATAGAGCCTGAACCTGAACATGAAAACCCTAAATCCAAATCTGAACCTGAACTAGAATCCAAACCTAGCTAATCCCAATCCCATTACCATTTCCAGCCCCAGCCATAAACTTGCATAAAGCAGGTTCACTGTGCACTGCTTACCAACTTGTCTGGGTCTGGTGAGACAAGTTATATGATGAAGCAAATGTATTAATTACAAATAGGCAGTAAGAGAAAACAGAAGCCTAGGATTCACTGTGAGCCAGTCCCCCAAGGTTCAGGAAAGCTGCTCAGGGCAGATAGAGTCTTGTCTGTGCATGCCTCACTTGCACTGCAATTGAAGGATCCTGGAAAGCAGTTTGCTCTGGATTTTATACCCTGGGAGTACAGGAACTACTTGTCTAAAGCGTCGTATGACATCCTGTTCTGGGTGAGGGGCACTGGAACAAAGCCTGGGCTGTTCCAACTAGCCTTCCTTATCTCAGGGTGTTGCATTCCCAGACATTCTACAATTATTCTTGAAAATTACGAGTGAGAAAGAAGGGAGAACTGGGATGGTCCAAGGATATCTGGAGAACTATCCTGCACCTAGCTCCATCCTAAGCCCCTGTCCTAATCTCAATCTCAGCCAGAGCCCAAGCCCTAGTCCAAACTGAGCTCTAGTCAGAGCTCCAACATGAACTGGACTCAGAGCCCGAGCTTCAACACAGACCTCAAACTGAACCAAATCCCTACCTTAACTCCAGCCCAGAACCAAACTGCATTTCAATAATGTCCTTTAATCCAACCCCAAATCCTAACACAAATACAAATCCAAACTCTGAACCTGAACCAGAACCCAAGTCTGAATCCATACACCCTAAAATCAAAGTCAAGTCAGAGTACAAGCCTGAGCCCAAACCAAATTTCAAACTAAGCCCAAACCTCAGACTCAACATCCACACTAACCCTAACCCAAGCCTTATACCCTAAACCCTAACCATAAATATAAACCTTAATTCCAAACTCAAAATCTAACCCAGACTTGAACCCAAATCCCTAAGCCATAAAACTGATCCAGAGTCTTAACTTGAAATGGAACCCCTAAACTCTAAGCCTAAACTCAAACCTGAGCTAGAACCTTACCAAAACCCCTAAACCCGAACCCATGCCTGTAACCTGATCAATCCTAAACCTAACCAAACCCTGACTATGACCTCAATCCTAAATTTGAACTTGATTCCAATTCAAAACCTTCAATCTGGCTGGGTGCAGTGGCTCATGCCTATAATCCCAGCACTTTGGGAGGCCGAGGCAGGTGGATCACTTGAGGTAAGGAGTTCGAGGCCAGCCTGGCCAAGATGGTGAAACCCTGTCTCTACTAAAAATACAAAAATTAGCCAGGCGTGGTGGTGTGTGCTTGTAGTCCCAGCTACTTGGGAAGCTGAAACAGGAGAATTGCTTGAATCCAGGAGGCGGAGGTTGCAGTGAGCCAAGATTGTGCCACTGCACTCCAGCCTGGGTGACAGAGCAAGACTCTGTCTAAAAAAAAAACCGAAACAAAAAAAACCCCAAAACCTTTCAATCTGAGTATGAATCCAAACCTCAATAATAATCCCAACCCAATCCCTGATGTCAGCACTAATTCTAAAACAGAAGCTCAAGCTGAACTCAAACCCTAACCTGAACTCAATTTCTTAATCCCAAAGCTTACACCTGAACCTGAACCTTAGGAAATAAAACACCGCAATTGTTTTATAACACCAAGTTTTGGGGTTAGGGTTATTTTGCACTGGAGTTCAAATTCTGGGCAAGATGGAGAAAGCACACTCTATTGTGTCTCTCCCACAACTATAAATCCTAGATGGAATGTATGGAGCAGCTAATTTGAAGACTAAAAATGTATGTTAACAGGCAGATTGAAGATCAGAATCTGAAGTACCACCAAACCTGAAGTATTTCATTGCTTTTCCTTCTCAGACCATGTAGGCTCCAGAGGAAGCCCAAAACCTAACTCCTAGATTTTAAACTGGTAATCCTAATCCCCAACCTTAAACCCTAAAAACCCTGACACCTGATGAATTTACCCACTTATCATTATGAAACAATCTTCTCTATCCCTGGCAATATCCTTTGCTCTGACATCTACTGCAGTTTTCTCATTACTGTCTGCATGGTATATTTTCCCATGCTTTTACTTTTAACCTATATTAACATTTTAAGTGAGTTTCTTAAAGATAAGAGTTGACTCTAAAAATACACTTTGACATTTAACACTTTATCTTTTAATTGATGTGTTTCATTTGGAGAGTTTCTATTGCTTAGTCTTCAAGGTCAGTAATTTCTACTTCTGCTATGTCTACTAGGTCATTAATCCAATCCTGTGTATTTTACATCTCAGATATCCTAGTCTTAATTTCTAGAAATTAAATGTGCCTTTTTATTTCATGCCTCTGCTTACCTTTTAGAACACATGTAATACAACATTAATAGCTGTTTTTATATCTTTGCTAATTCTAACATGTCAGTTCTCCATTTATTTAAATTGATAAATTTTTTTATCTTATCGTTGGTCATATTTTCCTGCTTCTTTGTGTGACCGGTAATTTTGTATTTGCTGCCTTACACATTGAATTTTAATTTGCGTGCTGTGTTTGTGTTTCCATAAATATATTCTTGAGGTTTGTTCTGGGATGCAGTTACCTGGAAAACAATTTCATCATCTCAGGTCTTACTTTTAAAATGTATCAAGCTGGATGAGAGGTGTGTTTAGTCTACAGCAATGGTTCTCAATCAGGGACAATTTTGTCTTCCCAACTTTGTGAAATCATTTGGAAGGTTTTTGGTTGTCAGAACTGGGAAGACAGTGGCCCTGGCATCTAGTAGATTGATGGCCAGGGATGCTGGCAAAATACTATAATACAATGCACAGGACAGCCCCACATGACAAAAAATATCTGGCTCCAAATGCCAACAGTGCCAAGGTTGAGAAGCTCTGGACTAGGGTTATTTATTCTCCATTACTGAGGTAAGACCTTTCTGGGTACTCTATCAAATACTCTGTGATTCATGAAATTTTCCAGTTTGAATGCATATACAGGCACTACTTCTGGTACTGCGTGAGTGCAGGAAACTCTTCCGTCTAATCTTTTTTCGGGTGGTTCTTTCTCTGCCATTGAGTAGTTTCCTCAGATCTAGAGTCCTTTCTGTGCAGCTCTCTCCTCTCTAGTACTCTATCCTGCAAAGACATCTGTCTTGATCTTCCTGGAAATCTCAAGTCACATCTCAACCCAGGGAATCTGCCAGGCTCTGCCTGGGTTCCTCCTCATTGTATTATGACCTAGTTACTCTCTCCTCAGAATAAGCTGGTACAATTGTAGGATTCAACTCTTCGAAAGATCACTGTCCTTTGTTGCCTAGTGTCCAGTGTCTTGAAAACTGTTGCTTCATATATTTTGTCTTTCCGGGGGTGTTATTTCACGCAGGTAGGTAAATGCCCTGTATCTGTTACTCCATCTTGGCCAGCAGTGAAAGTCTGTAAGTTGCAGTCTTGAGTTCAATATTCTCTATGAGACTTCTTAAAGTTTTCTTTGTGCTTTTCTAAACTTGCAATGGGGATTTAAAAAGAAAAAACATGGTGTCAGCCCGTGCATGTTAGTTTTCTTATACAGAATATTGCCATGATTTTTTTTCTCTTTGGAAGAGATGTAAAAAGTCACAGCATTTTGGATTTAGATTGTTTGGGCTTAATAAATAGCACGAACCCAAAATAATTTTGTACAGTGTATTCTGACCAGAAGAATGCTTTAACTTACCAAAATTGTCTTGACAAAGCAGTAGAGCCAATACTATGAATGAGTCTAGGAGGAACTGGGCTATGCTAGACTGGCACCATTGCTTTTGCCAGAAGCTGAGAATTTCATAGAATCCCCTTACCCTAGATGGTTTTAGGGTTAGCCTTTCTCAGTGAGTTGCACTTATATGAGACTTGGAAAGCAGAACAAAAGTAGAGGCCAGTACCCTTCAAAGGATACAAAGATGCTTAGGTGCCTGGTGTGTCGCAGCTTTTCCTCAACCTTTTCCATTCCACATCCAACTCATTCTGTGGACTGTTAGTCATGCTAACCAACTGGGGCTGCAAGCCTACTACTTGGTACTTGGCATCAGATCTACTGAAGCTGTGGCTTCCATAAACCTTTCCACATGTCTCTCTTCACACACCAACTTTGGCAAGTGTATTAGTCTTCTCTCATACTACTGTACAGATACTACCCGAGACTGGGCAGTTAATAAAGGAAAGAGGTTTAATTGACTCACAGTTTCGCAAGGCTGGGGAGGCCTCAGGAAACTTACAATCATGGTGGAAGGGGAAGCAGCCACCTTCTTCACAAGGTATCAGGAGAGAGTGAGTGTGTGAAGGAGGAACTGTCGAACACTTATAAAACCATCAGATCTCATGAGAACTCCCTCACTATCATGAGAACAACATGGAGGAAACTGCCCCCATGGTCCAATCACCTCCCACCAGGTCCCTCCCTTGACATGTGGGGATTATAGGGATTAAAATTCAAGGCGAGATTTGGGTGGGGACACAGCAAAACCATATCAGCAAGCAGACATACAGGGCTTCTTAGGTTTTCCAGCAAGCTCCGACCTGTCTGCCTATGTCACTGCCTCAAGTGAAAGCACTAGGACTGTTCTTCTGATCTTCTGGTACCTGCCTTCCAGACCTTCACTTCCCAGTTTGTCACACATTTTTGTAACCTTGAATCCTATATTAAACTCTTTGTTTCCCTAACACTTGTCTTGCCTCTGCTGTCTTCACTGGATTCACGCTGATATACATGGCAACCACAACCACTACTTCCACCCTGTTTATTATACTTGAGAAGATGGCATTGCAAGACATAGACTTGCTTCTAATGTAGAACACTTTGGTAGGGTCTACGGTGCTGCTGTTGTTGTTACATTCATTTCCATCAAGATACCCTGGGAAGCAACCCAGTATCTTTGTCTATCTTGAGGCCAGAAAAGATAGATACCAAGAGTCAAGCAAGAAGAAACCATTATCTAAAGGCACCTACATTCACTATTAAGGAAACTTTTGGATTGTAACACTGTTTTTTTTTTTGCCAAGGGTTTGAAGTAAAGAGAAATAGCTGGTGTCACTTCTTTCTTTATTCATAACCAAATAAATAACCATCTTTTATTTTTCTCTAAGTGTCTGTTAGAGAATGCACATTTCAGTTGAAATCTGGATAAAACCTAGGGAGAACTTAAATAGGCTGTTTTTAAGTTATTGCAGCCTGTACAAAAATATATTCTATACCTGACTTTAGCCACCTTACGTTCAGAGGTCCCAAGTGACTGATTATTTTGTTGTGACCTATCTATTTGTATATTTGATTTGTGCCTGTTTTTCTTTTATTTCTGTTTAGGTACCCTGTTTGCTATAATGAATTATTCCCTCCCACCATTATGCCTTCCGCTTGAGTCTCTTTCAGAACCAGTCATTTAACTTTAGATAGAAAGATTTTTCAGAATTGTGCTAAACTGGATGAAAATCCCTGGGGTTCTTTTTCAGTTCTGTCTAAATCATGCACTCAGGACGATAGTTGTGAAGGCTGTGTGATCATCTCAGAATCTTTCATTGGTTTCAGCATGGGCTATATATTTTTTAAGTTCATTTGTGTCTTTTGAAGAAATTCTACACACCTGAGACTATGCTACAGATCTTTACTGGAAGTCTCCAGGTAACACTTCTTAATATATTTTCCGCATAAGTAAAATACTTTTGTTCTGTAAACAATGGCAAATGTCATCAGAAGAAATTAGGTTCCAGAAAGAACTTCTAAAACAAGCAAATCATTGTATTACTCTTAAATTTTATTAACATCTTCAGTTTGTGCGTCATTTAAAATGAGACATGTGCTTTAAAAAGCATTCTTATACATAAATAGACCAAGGAACAGTTAGGTAATTGATCCCTAAAACATGCACATCAATTTTATTCAGGTGTGTATAAGAAAGGGAAATAAGCTTTAAACCTTTTTCTTTGGATTAAAAACATTTGGAAATTATTCAGGAATGCCAAATGTTTTTCTGGAACAGATGTATTTTCCAATAGGAAATACTGATGCAATTAAGAGGCATTAGTGTTGATAAAGAAGACTGGAAAAACGTTTGTGCTATGCTAGATAAACAAGAAAAGAGTTCAAGTGGGCCTAAGATCTATGTCAAATAAATGAATCAGGTAGCATGAATTGAAAGGTTTGGATAGAAGAACAGGTACCATGAGCCAGATTATGGGACACATATATGTTCAAGGCACATGACTAGGCTAAACAGGTGGCTAGATTCTACAGACTAATTTGTTCATTCATTGAGAAAGTGTAAAATGTAATATAATTTCAATTTAATGGCACTTATTGATAAATAAATGCAATTGGATCTAGGGTAGAAAATGTCTTCCTTTCAGATACACACCAGAAATGCATACTAGATAACAGATGCCAGTAGCGATATGATTACAGTCCAATTTTCTTACACTGCAGTTAAATGGTTGTTAAACTGTTTTGTATTAATTCTATATGTCATACTGTCTATTCTCTTTCAAGTTTCACAAAAGAATTCATCAAAACTAGGCAGATTTAAGAATTTATTTAACCACAAAGAATGCTCAAAACTATTATTCAACAGGAATCAAGCCCAAACCCTGGAGTTGACTGCTGACCGTATTCGGTTTGGGCTTTTCCCAGAATGGAAACACTTTTCCCACACTACCTCCCTTTGCACAGCTAAAATGCTAGCATATCCACTGTGGTTCCCTTCTTTTTCTTTGGCAAGTCAGAGGAATTTACCTCCCCACCCCCTCTACTACATATTCTATTAGCGACACGATTGCCCTAAATATTCACAGAAGAAAAAGGAACACATTTAAAAAACTGCAACTTTCAACAATATTTAAACCTTCATCTTCTCAAATCAACTGCAATGGGAAAACAGAAGATATCAAGCTATCCACTGTATTGTGAATGATCAGCACACTGAACTTTATTCCTGAAAGTCAATATTAGGAGGACAAGGATAATTCTGTGTGCTTCTAATGGGCTAGCAAAATGTTCCCCATCTAACTGAAATAAGAATGTTTCATACTTTACTTGTCTGAGCTCTTAGAAGGAAGCAGCACCAACATCATTACAATTCCCCAAATAACAACTATTATCCATTTATATTGTTTTGAAGCACCTAAAACTTCTCAATAACAAAAGACATTAAGATGAGATGTTAGCAATACTGTCTCTTGAATACTTTTGTGTGCACATACAAAGTTTCTCCATAGTTTTAGTAGATAGCTCATAAGACTAGCGGCGACAGCTTTGAGCAATTAAAAACAAAAATGTTTCTCTAAATAGATGACACTAGTTAACAAACCAAAGAAATAAACAAAAGCCTTTTTAAGGCTACTGCTGCAATGAATGGTTCAATCTGAAGTTCACAGGAATAAACTGGTAGATAAGACAAAGATAAACCTGGAGGCATGGAACAAGATTTTAAAAAGTGAGAAGAGGGTTGAAGAGACTGGCAGATACCATCTGTCAGTATGTGAAAGGCTTGAGTCACATGGATTGCTTTTAACTCCTTGTTCTCTCATATCCTTGGTTAATGGTAACTTCTTCTTTCCTATTTCTTCACACAGCTTGGCCATGTAAATCCACCACAGAGAGGTGAAACAATGATATAGATGAACACCTGGAGGGACGAGGAGAGCAATTTTATTTTCTTGAATCAATCATATTATTCTAAATAATATATATAGGAAAGTAGAGCCTTATTAAGAAATACTTCTGATTCCATTAGAGTAGCAGTTATGTAGTAATGGAACACACTAAACAAGTATTTTCCAAGACAGAAGTGTAGTTAACATTGTCGTTTTTGGTATAACTCACACCCACTTGAACTCTAGCGTTTCCTTCAGTGGGAGAGAAAGCAGTGGGGTTGTTGCTCTTCACTGGTAACTCGGCAGAATCAAGGCTAAATGAGCAACTCATACTGATGTGTCATTAACAAGTCATAAAAAAATCACAAATAACCATAATTCTCCTGAAGTATGGTTTCATTAATTATATTTTTAGGTTTTGCACATGAATTTTATTTTTGATTAATATAAGAATATATTTTAAAAGCCTGAGTAGAAGGCTTTCATCTATATCACTTATGAGCAAGAACACTGCTACGAACTGTTCAGTGGATAATGACACAATAATTACGATGACCAAAACAATGAAAAGCAGATGATGTAAGTAACACTGCAAAAATACTGGTGCTATTACAGATGTGTTTGCTTTTTAATTCTAGATTATAATTTTAAATTATATTATAAAAGTCACTACTTGTTCACATTATTATATCACAAAAAATAGATTTTAAACATTAGGTTCACTGCATTAGTCACTTTATTTTATTTATTTTTTATTTTTTATTTTTGTAGAGATAGGGTGTCACTATGTTGACCAGGCTGGCTTCAAACTCTTGGCCTCAAGCAATCCTCCTGCCTCAGCTTCCCAAAGTGCTGGGATTACAGGCATAAGCCCCTATGCCTGGCTTTATTTTGCTTTAAATTACAACTTTTTGAGATCTTTAAGTGACTGATTTCATTATTTGCAAGCTTGGAAAAGGATGCATTGATGAATTGCATGCCCTTTGCTCCAAAAGTGAGCAAAGCATTTTGCCTTGTAGGGAACTATAAATATTGCCAGGGTTGGGGGGCAGATTACAGCAAATTCTGTTTATTAATGAATAGGTTGAACTTCTGACATCATATTCACACATACACACACATACTCACACATACACATGCCACAAATGTAAAGTTTACCAACTTGATGTAAAGTTGACTATTTGTCACAGCTGTAATATAAGGATTTTTCAAGCTGAAGTACATCTCGTTAGGTGACAACACCTTTTCGCAAAGATTGATATTGCATTTAGAGCTGTGCTCTGCATGTAATAAGTAATCAGTAAATATATTCTGAATTTAACAATTCAGCTGCACAAATCAACCTAAACTCCCAGACCAAATAATAAGTAAGAAGCTAAGCTCAGGAGCCTAAAATGTGATATTAGAAAGAGAAACCTGAGCAAGGAACCATTCAAGGCCATGACAATTACTTCCAGTATAAAATCTACAGATCTATGACTGCTCTTCTCTTTTAGATAAATCCAGCTGTCTAAGGCAGAGGACCCTCAAGCTGTGGTAGAGGAGAAGCAGGGTCAGAGTTATCTGCTTGGAGGTAACTTTGGGCTTCTGGACATGACTGGAGGATGGGGAGGAAAGGCAACTTTATCTGACCATGAACAGGGTAAAGCACCCCCCACCTGTTAGCAATAGTTTTTAAAGTTGTGGTTTAGGACCTCTTTACACACTCAAAAATTACTGAGGACTCCAAAGAGTTCTTGTTTAAGGGGGATTATAATTATCAGCATTTGCCATATTAGAAATTAAAACTTTAAAAATACATAATTAATTTAAAAATAAAAACAATAAACCCATTACATATAAACCAGAAATGTCTTTATTTAAAATAACTACATTTCTGTGAGGTCAGTTTTATAGATCTCTTCCTATTGAGAATATATAATAATTCTCAATAGGAAGGAGGGGTTTAAGTAGAGATATTTCATAGTGACTTCATAGGAAAGCCACTGCCTGGTCATGTGTTTCACTATTAAAAGACATATGTAGCTCATTTCAGAGTGTTAATCATTGAGAAATAATTCTAGTACCTAATTTCTTAGAGATTGAAAAATAAAGCCATACACTAAAAGGACAAAAACTTACAATTGATACGATGATGATGATAATAGTGAGCTTGAGGTTCTTCATACACATGGCTCGAGCAAGATTTCTGCTGGTAGTTTTGAAGGTGACAGACTAGAAAAGAGGCGAGAATTGTTTAACCCCTGGCACTGACTACATGAATGATTTGCAGTAACAACCTGAGAACATTTTACTTCCATTAATTCCATTTAAGTCCAATGACCTCTCTTTACAAGTAGAGACTGGCCATTCATACTCAATAGTTGCCAAAAGCAAGACTCTGCCAGGCCTATCATAAGCAGTATGAGCCCAATGAAAACGCTTCCCTCTTTTTTCTTCTCCACTGCAGCAATGCACATGATGTTGAGCACCAGAAGTGGTTCTTCCCGCTAGTGGAAAAGAATTTTCCTCTCTATACTTCCAATAAGAAAGGCTCTTTTAAAGCCAGCTGACTGCAAGCACATTCGCCTATTCTGCCCCGTATAATTCCGGGGCTTTGAGCCATAAAAACCTGTTTGATTTCTGTAGGAAGATATGTATTTACTTTTGTGAGGGCCAAAACCCATAGAACTTCATTCCTTCTGCTATCCATTTTCTTTTGCATCATCAATTTCTCAGTATCTACTGAACAATTCCCACCAGGACACAAGGAGTTTAAAACAAAATGGCAAACAACCAACCAACAAAACTCCCTAATAATCCAGCAATCCACTCTGGTATGGTCCCACAGATGTATGCAAATTCACCAAAAGACATATAAAAAAATGTTTTGGACAGCACTACTTTTCATACCTTAAACTGGAAACCACCCAAATGCCCATCAACTGTGCAATGCATAAATTACAGGAGAGTCATAACATGGAATACAATACAGTAATGACAATTCACAATCTACTACTACATTTATACAATTTACCACAGATGAATCTCACAAACATCATTTTGAGCAATAGAAACTTGACATAAACAGAATACCTGCTATATTTTATTATTTATCTTGAGACAGGGTCTTGCTCTGTCGCCCAAGCTGGAGTGCAGTGGCACAATTACGACTCACTGCAGCTTTGACCTCCTGGGCTCAAACGATCCTCCCACCTCAGCCTCCTGAGTAGCTGGGACTATAGGTGTGTGCCACCACTCTCGGCCCCTGCTATGTTTTATTAATCTATGTGGAGAAATCAGGACAGTGGCCACCTTTGGAGAAGAGTAGTGACTAAAAGAAGGGAGAAGGGAGCTTCTGGGGTACTGTTCGTGCTCTAGTTCTTAATCTGGGTGTTGGTTCTACATGGTATGTTTACTTTGTGAAAACACAACAAGTTGTATGCTTACAGTTGATGCACTTTATGTATATTATACTTCACATATTGGTTTTAAAAAATCCACTCCCTTAACCATAGATTCATCTCCAACCACATACTCCACAAAGTCTCTGCAGTAGAACAACTGACAGGGGCACCAGTCTTTGGGTTTCACTTCATGAAGACTGCACAGGATGCCACCTGGAGGCACATACCAAAACTGATTACATCTAGAGCTAAATATATATGTTGAATAGAATATATGCATTGACTAGAACTTTTGAGAAGAAACAGCAGTTAAAGTGAGGAGACAAAAAAAGCAATGGGGACAAACAGTCCTTAATGGAACAAAGTTAATATGGGAAACAAGATAGAATAACAGTAATAAAAAAATTTCTAATAAGTATCCTCAGATACAAGACATAATTGAACTAATTTTAAACAAAGTCATCAGAGGACATAAAAAATTAGATAACATGACAACATTCCAAAAACTATATTTTAATAAAATGGCATAATTTTTTAAAAGCAGAACATAAATGAGCAAAAGCAGCTTCTGCAGTAACAATTCAAAAAATTTGTTCTGAAAACAGCAAAATGTCTAGGTTGTAAATCATGAAAGAAGATGTAAGATACACGGAAAACTGATCAAGCAAATCCAGGATCAATTTATACGATCAACAGATATTTAACATGTGCTTATTATGTGCCTGGTACTGATTTACACACCTATTAGCAGTCACAGGAGAGAATACAGCCAAAAGAGAAGGATCAATAATCAAGGGACTAATTGAAGAAAATATCCCCCAAATAAGACAGACTTGAATCTTCAGACTAAAAGGACCTACCCACCATGTGGCAAGAATATTGAAAAAAGGAAAATGTTACACTTTTAGTAACATTTCAGACCTCCAAGCTTTTGTTTCTACTCTAATTTTATTTTTTTCTGCCTTGAAGTATAATTGGCAAATAAAAATGGTATATATTCAAGGTATACAATGTGATATTCTGATAAATGTACACATTGTGAAATTATTACCACAATCAAGCTAAGTAAAATATCCATCACCTCACATAGTTACTTTTTTGGGTATGTGGTGAGAATGCTTAAGATCTATTCTTATAGCATATTTCAAATATTCAATACATTATTATTAACTATAGTTGCCATGCTGTATGTCCGGTATCCAGAACTTATTCATCTTACAACTGTAAGTTCATACACTTTGACCAACATCTCTCCAGGTCTCCCACCCACTGTCAACCACTGTTTTACTCTCTGCTTTTATGAACTGAACATTTTTTTTAGATTCCATATATAAGTGAAATCATACAGTATTTATCTATCTGTGTCTAGTATATTTCACTTAATATAATGTCTTCTAGTTTCATCCACATTTTAGAATTTTTTTTTCTATTCTGTGAAAAATGCCATTGGAATTTCAATAGGGATTGTGTTGAATCTGTGTATTGCTTCAGGCAGTATGAACATTTTAATAATATTGATTCTTCCAATCCATAAACATAAGGTATCTTTCCATTGATTTGTGTCTTCTTGAATTTCTTTCATCAATGTTTTATAATTTTCAGTGTGCACATTATTACATCCTTGGTTAAATTTATTCCTAACTATTGTACTCTTTTTGATGCTATCATAAATGGGATTTTTAAAAAATTTCCTTTGATTCCTGTTCCAAGATGGCCAAATAGGAACAGCTCCAGTCTACAGCCCCCAGCGTGAGCAACGCACAAGACGGATGATTTCTGCATTTCCAACTGAGATACCGGCTTCATCTCACTGGGGCTTGTTGGACAGTGGGTGCAGCCCACCGAGCGTGAGCCGAAGCAGGGCGAGACATCGCCTCACCCGGGAAGCACAAGGGGTCAGGGAATTCCCTTTCCTAGCCAAGGGAAGCTGTGACAGATGGCACCTGGAAAATCGGATCACTCCCACCCTAATACTGCGCTTTTCCAACGGTCTTAGCAAACAGCACACCAGGAGATTATATCCCGCGCCTGGCTCAGAGGGTCCCACACCCACGGAGCCTCACTCATTGCTAGCACAGCAGTCTGAGATTGAACTGCAAGGTGGCAGCGAGGCTGGAGGAGAGGCGCCCGCCATTGCTGAGGCTTGAGTAGGTAAACAAAGCTGCCGGGAAGCTCGAACTGGGTGGAGCCCACCACAGCTCAAGGAGGCCTGCCTGCCTCTGTAGACTCCACCTCTGGGGGCAGGGCATAGCTGAACAAAAGGCAGCAGAAACCTCTGCAAACTTAAATGTCCCTGTCTGACAGCTTTGAAGAGAGTAGTGGTTCTCCCAGGACAGAGTTTGAGATCTGAGAACAGACAGACTGCCTCCTCAAGTGGGTCCCTGACCCCCAAGCAGCCTAACTGGGAGGTACCCCCCAGTAGAGGCAGACTGACACCTCACACGGCGGGTACCCCTCTGAGACAAAACCTCCAGAGGAACGATCAGAGAGCAACATTTGGTGTTCAGCAATATTCACTGTTCTGCAGCCTCCGCTGCTGATACCCAGGCAAACAGGGTCTGGAGTGGCCCTCCGACAAACTCCAACAGACCTGCAGCTGAGGGTCCTGACTGTTAGAAGGAAAACTAACAAACAGAAAGGACATCCACACAAAAACCCCATCTGTATGTCACCATCATCAAAGACCAAAGGTAGATAAAACCACAAAGATAGGGAAAAAAACAGCAGAAAAACTGAAAATTCTAAAAATCAGAGCGCCTCTCCTCCTCCAAAGGAACGCAGCTCCTCACCAGCAACAGAACAAAGGTAGACAGAGAATGACTTTGACGAGTTGAGAAAAGAAGGCTTCAGATGATCAAACTTCTCTGAGCTAAAGGAGGAAGTTTGAACCCAGCACAAAGAAGCTAAAAACCTTGAAAAAAAGATTAGATGAATGGCTAACTAGAATAACCAATGTAGACAAGTCCTTAAATGACCTGATGGAGCTGAAAACCATGGCACGAGAACTAAGTGACGAATGCACAAACTTCAGTAGCCGATTCGAACAACTGGAAGAAAGGGTATCCGTGATTGAAGACCAAATGAATGAAATGAAGCGAGAAGAGAAGTTTAGAGAAAAAAGAATAAAAAGAAACGAAAAAAGCCTCCAAGAAATATGGGACTATGTGAAAAGACCAAATCTACGTCTGATTGGTGTACCTGAAAGTGATGGGGAGAATGGAACCAAGTTGGAAAACACTCTGCAGGATATTAGCCAGGAGAACTTCCCCAACCTAGCAAGGCAGGCCAACATTCAAATTCAGGAAATACAGAGAACGCCACAAAGATACTCCTCGAGAAGAGCAACTCCGAGACACATAATTGTCAGATCACCAAAGTTGAAATGAAGGAAAAAATGTTAAGGGCAGCCAGAGAGAAAGGTCGGGTTACCCACAAAGGGAAGCCCATCAGACTAACAGCTGATCTCTCGGCAGAAACTCTACAAGCCAGAAGAGAGTGGGGGCCAATATCCAAAATTCTTAAAGAAAAGAATTTTCAAC